>NC_000005.10:110715867-111018897 GCF_000001405.40 Homo sapiens | reverse complement strand
TAATATAATACATTCTAACATTCTAGTCTATGCTAGATAATTCTTTTTCTTTTCTTAGAGATGGGGTTTCACTATGTTGCCCAGGTTGGTGTGGCAATTCACAGGTGCCATAAAGTGCACCATATCCTCTAACTCCTGGGCTCAAATGATCCTCCTGCCTTAGTCTTCTGAGTAGCTGGAACTACAGGCAAATGCCAGTACACCCTGCTCTACTAGATGATTCTTTATATTCTATTCTAATTAACTCTTGATTTCAGTACCATTCATTACTTTGTAATGAATTTTAATATAGAGGTGTTGCTTCAATAAGTTGCAGACACATGGATAAGAAAGACCGAACTGTGGACCCTGGTGGAGTTTCCTAAAGTATTGCGTTCTGAGACCCAAGTCGAATGGCCAACTGTGCCCACCTTCTACTACATGTATGGTTCAACAATTTCCATTTCATGCTCTGGAATGAATTATGAGAATAGATAGTTTGCAAATCAGTAAGTTATAGCAGAAAGACTGATAGGTAGACCATATTCCACCACTTACTTGTGTGACCTTCTTGGTCCTATCTTTCCTCATCTGTAAAATAGGATTATATACTCACTGAACAAGGATTTTGTGAAAATTCTACTTGATAAATGGAGGCAACAAGGACATTTATCACCCTATTAAGTAAATAATTAATATAAAATAATTATTGTGTGCAGCAATTTTTTTCTACTAAAAATCAGTGATAAAATGTAGCACGCAGAACTACAGGTGAATATTTCTCTGGGTTGGGTGCCCATACCAAAAACATCAATAATAACAATGAGAACAGATTAGTAAGATTCTAAAGACCTGCTAAGGATATGGCCCATTGAAAATTATTTTCAGCCATGGTTAAATATTGTTTTTGTAAAAAAATTGGTTTTCTGAGTTCTGTATGTGGGCATGCGATTACTAAGATATGTGTCATTTGGATTGCTATGTAGGAAACAAAGAATGACCAAATGAGGAAATTTCTATCTAAAGCTGAGCTTTTTCTGAGTCTTAATTCCCACAATACATATAATATTCAGTCATTTTTCTAAAGATAATAATGAGTAAATATGGGGTCATACTAGCCAAATGATTTGGTAATAACAGTAACATTTAAAATGTTATTTTATATTGTTTAATAATATGATTTTAATAGTTGCATGATAATCCATATATAGCCTATGGATTTTTATTTTTTAGATAATTTCTTATGTAGAACTTTTAGTTTGCTTCCAACATTTCACTGTGATATGTGATACTGCATTAGAGGTACTTAGTAAGTGGAAGTTAGGTTCCAATGTCAGCATGTAAGGCAAAATCTCATAGTCAAAACTGCATCTGAAATTCTCCTAAGCAGTTGCCACCTGTGATATTGATGTTCTGCCTCTCAATAGATTCAACGTGGTCAATTCTTCTTTTAGAGTGTCAGTGAGTATTGTTTTTATTATTTTTTGTTTACAGGTTACAAAAAATGACACTGACATTTTTTAAGCAAAAGAGTTGTTTATTAGAAGATTATCAAGAGATTATCCTTTACTGGGAACCAACAGGCAATAGGATTTGATAAATGGGCAAAAACCAAGAGGCATTCAAAGGCCAGGCTGCATGGATAGACTCTGGTCTGTGCTTCAGTACTTCTGCTGTAATAGATTGGGACTTCAAATAGCTATTCTGTCTCTGCATCCTTTTCTTCTGATTACAAATTCTAGTGGATTGAGCTCAGGTGATGTTGTCCACTGCTTAATTGTACCAGGAAGCAGACAAAGATAGGTTTTTTTTTTTTTCTTTTTGGTGGGATAAACCATGAGCAACAAGAGATAGGAAATGCTCTCCCATGAGAAACTTACTCATGGGGAAATTCCACCCAAAGGGAGATCAGGATTCAAACAAGGGGTGGGAGAGCATTTGGATGCCAGGAAGCCAAGAGCAACAAATATTGCAGTCTAGCAGGAAAAAAAAAATTGTGTGCGTGTGTGTGTGTGTGTGTGTGTGTGTGTGTTTAAGTGCCCGAAGAGAAGTTGGCTAGAGTTTACAGGTCACGTTGTGTGAACTAGAATATTACTTAGCAAAATGACAGCTCATTGCTGTAAGAAACACTCTGGGACATAGCTCTCTTTTTGTGTTCACTCTTTAGCTTGAGCTCATATAATGGAATGACAGAATTTATAATTATTTTTTACAAAGGATGTAATGGCCAAATCTATGTAAGTTAACTTTGTATATGCTGGAACTCCACCTTATGAATAACAACTAAAATCTTTTCTGAGATAAGCAATTTTAGAATATATATTTTTGGGTGGATATCCAGTTCTATGAAGTCCTAACTGGATAGAAATGATTTCCTGACTCAACCCTAGGATAGTGTTTAGGGAGCACTTGAACTCGAAATTTCTTAAGATAGTAGAAAGTCTCAATAAGATATACGAAGATTTGCCATTTTCTGGTATTTTACAGCTTTCTGTAACTTTGTCTTCACAAGCAAAATTTGGCCTCTTCACAAAATTTGGCCTCTTCTATTTTCCTGATAACATTGTGTCCATTGGTCCTGAATTTCATTATATATTTTATTCTCCACTTCAATGCATTCTTTTCACTCTTAACATACTTTTACTTCACACACACAAGAAGCAATCAATTCCCTAAGATAAACTACTCTGTGTCCTGGATTTTTCTTTGACTTCCATGAAAATCTTAGGTTGAAACTCAATATATTCTCATCCTTATTCCCTTCCTCCTTGCCTTTGGAATGTTGTCGTACTTGCTTGCTCTTTATCAAGTGATTTCTCTCATTTCACTATGAAACTTTTGAATAAAAATCCAACACCTTCCATTTTTTCAGCACTCACTCTCTCTTTATACAATTGTCACATTCTGTCTCAAAATTACTTTCGTGATAGTCAATAATGAACAAGTAACTAAATTCAGGAGCACTTCTTGACTTGTACTTGAACTTCTTGGAGGCTTGAGCAACAGAGGTCATACTCTCCTTGAAAATGCAGATTTGTATTACTTATTAATCTAGCCCAAATATTGTAAGTACTTTAATAACTAACCTTGTCCTCACAACACCCTTTAAGGTGGTACCGTGATTGCCCCCATTTTAAAGTTGAGAAAATTGAGGACCAGAGAAGTTAAACGCTTGTCGAAAGACCAGTTCAAATGTCCTTGATTCTTTGCTTTCTCATCTCTCATGTATTAGACTCCTTTGCTGGCTTGCTCCTGGCTTCCTCCTTCCAGTATCCTCTGTGAGCATTTCATTCCTCAAGACCGCTGTTGGTCCTCAGTTTCTCGCTTTACTCATTTCCTTTAAATAAAGTGATCCTATATTGTTGAGAAGATTATCATCTTATTGAAGAACAATTCTTACTACTCTTGTAACACACTTTGCTCATTTTGAATTCAAAGTTCTCGTTTATTTGACCATTCACTTCTAAAAGGTCATTTCCCTTTTCTTCTGCTATTACATCTAATACCTATTTTTTAAGGCCTACCCTTTACTGATCTTCCCTGTCTTCTCTGGACTCCAACAACTCTCATTGTCTGAAACAGTCTATTTGGTAATTAGTGACCTCTTGCATTTTGTATTTGTTTCTTATATGCATGTATTGTACTTTAAAACTGTACAGAAAGATCTTGCAAGGATAGGGATCTGTGTTTTAATTACTTTATGTTCTTTTTCTGTCGTTAGTATTTAGCATCTAACATAGTAGTGAATACATGAAAGGTAATTTATCAGCTAAGTTCTTTGGTTACAAACAAGAGAAAACAACTATGGGTAATATAAGCAAAAGCTAAATTGCAGTAAGGATTTTCGGAGCTCATGTTGTTGACAGGAGATGAGGACTAATGATCCATTAGCCACTGACAAGAATGCTGCCACTGGTCAAGATGGAACTCCAACTACTTTCAATATCTTAGACTCTTTGCCAAAGATTCAAATTATAGGAAAGAACATCTGATGGCCTGCCTGAGATATGCCTACTTTCCCCCTAAGGAGAAAAGGCTGCTAATTAGAATCTAACCAGGTTGTATTAGATAGAAAAGAGGACATTCCTCCAAAAGAAATTCCTTTGCTGTTAGAAAAGATGTTAGAAAAGGAAGAAGGATAATGGGGAACAAACAATAAATAAGTTTGTAATAGGTGCTGAATAAACATTTATTGAATGAATTAGTCAGTAAACTTGTGACATTAATCACCACACTTAGGTTTGGTTTTGCACGATTAGCCTGATGTACTTGTGTTTATTTTTTCTATATAGAGCTGAGCCAACTGGGGACTGAAAAAATTCAGAGAGAGAGAACCATGAAAGTCAAGGGCATTGTAAGGATGAATTTAGAACCTCCAATGACAGCAGGCCCTCATTTGGATGCTTGGATTCTAAAATGTTTGCTAAAAGGTAAGTCAGAGCATTTGGTCATATGTCATCTAAACTACACTTTCACCTGTACCTAAGATGTAGGAAGAGGCTGAATGATATAGATACGGGTTTCAAGGTCAGTATAGTAAATTGAAAAGTTATTCTAACCCAGCTCTTTACTGTTAGGCATTCCTTTCCTTCTCTGATTCCTTATAGGTGAAAGAAGGGATTGAAAGATATGAAATGTAAAGTCCCACCCGTTAAAAATTCCACTTTTCCAAAGAGAAACCCTCATTCTTATTTTATATAGTTTTAAGGTGACCAATGGTTAATTATTCCTTGCTGGTTATAGTTATAGAATCTCCATACTCACACTAGTTAAGGAGGTGAGAACACTTACCAATATCAGAGGAAGCAAATGAAACATAAAACCTTCTCAGCAAACTAACACAAGAACAGAAAACCAAACACCACATGTTCTCACTCATAAGTGGGAGTTGAACAATGAGAACACATGGACATAGGGAGGGGACCATCACACACCGGGGCCTGTCAGGGGATGGGGGGCTAGGGGAGGGATAATATTAGGAGAAATACCTAATATAGATGACGGGTTGATGGGTGCAGCAAACCACCATGGCACGTGTATACCTATGTAACAAAACTGCATGTTCTGCACACGTATCCCAGAACTTAAAGTTTAATTAAAATATACCTTACTCAAAATTATTAATCTGCTAAGTGAAAGGACTGTAATTACAATTTCCTTAAATTCCATTTGTTGGCATGCTGCTTGAAACTATTCTAAAGTTATTTCAAATATACATATTTATGACAAATGACAAATCCGTTCAAATAAGACAGTAAGGACTCCTCCAGAATTATTTTATTTATATTTCATCTCCCTTCTAAAACTCAGTGGTATAGTTGTTCTTGAATTGATAATTGTTAATAAAGTTTTTACTAAACATCTCAGGTCTTATCAGCCATATATTTTCTTGATATTAAATAATATAATACAGATGATCTAGCATAAAGGAAAGATTAAAATCTCAGGCTCTAACATCATACAGACCTGGGTTAAAATGCTTATATGAATTATCAGGATTCTCCTTAGGAGGAGCAATAGATTTGTTTCGAAGGGATATACTTTGAGAGTAAAGAATGAGACCCCCCAAGAGCATGCTTAAAAACAACAGAAACAGAGCAAGGACAGGAGTTTGTTTCTTTCCTGATAGAAAGAGTGGGGAAAAGGGACAAGTCTAAAATTGGCCAAATCCCAAGGAATGCATTGTGTGAGTAAACTTCCTGTTGGAGAAATATGTATCTGTAGCTGAAATCAAGGTAGGGCAAAAGAGACAATACATCTTACAATGTCTGATTTACTTTAAATTACTTCAGCATAGATAGTATGATATGATGTACATGCCAGTTACCTTACATTTCAACTCTAGAGGTAGACTATTTACTGAATAATGCACCTTGCAGGGGTGGTCAGCTAGCTTGTACCTATAGTTCTCTGTACTTCTCTGAACACCTGAGGCTTTTCATTCTATTATTACTACAGTATTATATTTACACACTCTGTTACACTTATCTGTATATTTATCTGCTTTTCTTATTTGAATTTGAGGTTTGGGGGCGGACGGTCCAGGACCATAAACTTAAACATATTTTTGTAAACTTAACAATTATCAGGGTACCTGGCACACAGTAGGTATATCATAAAAGTTTCTGAGTAAGTGGTAGAACAAATGTAGAATGAAAGCTTTTTGAGACCTCTGTTTTTATAGTAGTCACTCTATTCAGATATCAGGTTAGAGAGGGCAGTGGAGCTAGTGATGCAGTTTAGCTGTTTGCTTGCATTTCATCCTGTGTGGAGATCCTTGTTTTGTTTTATATTATCCTTTTCCCCTAAAAGAAGAAAAGTGGCTTTTACATACAAATAAACTACAGTAGGATAAAAAATAAACAGGTGAATAAAGATGAATGAAGGTTAAATCAAGATAGGAAATTAAGATATACCAGGGATACAGTTGGTATAAAAAGTTCATACAACAAAGATGCTACATATTTGATAAGAAGTGAGACATGATAGTGGTTCTGAGCTTCCCTTTAACAAAACAAAGGGAGAAACAAGCCCAGAAGCAAAACTTGCAGTGTTGATGGGCTAAATACAAACCACATACTAAGAAGTATGCCAATTTTTACTTGATCCTTAATTAGGCTTTTGGACATTGTCATACCTGAGAAATATTTCTACCATAGGTGTTCCTCACTTTGTTTTTCAGCTTTAGTATTTGTGTTTGATTTTTGAAAAAATTATTTCAATCTCTGTTAAATTTCTCTGATAAATTTATAAATTTATTCTCTGTTTTCTTGAAGTTCACTGAACTTCCTTAAAACAGCTATTTTGATTCTTTGTCTGAGTGATTATGCCTCTCCATCACTTTAGGGTAAGTCTCTAGCACCTTAATTTGTTTGTTTGGTGAGGTCATATTTCCCTGAATTTTCTACTTGCAGACATGCAATCATGTCTGCACATTGAGGGATTAGGTATCTATTTCAGTCTTCACAGTTTGGCTTTGTTTGTGTCTGTCCTTCTTTAGAGGGCCTTTCAGGGATTCTAAACATACTGACTGCTGTGTTCCCTGATTCTCTGTCCATTCCAGTTGTCCCAGCACTAGAAGACATTCTAAGCCCAAGCTTATTCCAAGTCTTGCAAGGACATTGAAGTTGATGCAGCTTTCTGGCCCAGATGGACCTGGGGAAGAACCAAGTAGGATACTGAGTCTGTGTGGGGATGCTGGCCAGGGTCCTGAGTCCAGAAGACTGTCCCGCTGGCTCAAATTGGTGTGCCTTCCAGCAGATCTTTAAGTAGGTGGGATAGGTCACCAAATTCAGTAAGAGAGACTGGAGTTTGAGACTGAGATTCTCCCAGGATCTTCTGTGGGAAGGAGGCTGATGGGCTTATCTTTTTGGCTAAGATGGACGTGCATCACCCAGCAGGTCTCTGCACCAGTGGTGTAATTCCTCAACTTCAAAAGGAGGAGCAAAATCTGAGACTATACTCTCCCAGGATCTACTGTGAAATGGAGGCTGCTGTGCCTATCACACTGGCTCAAGTGGGCATGTGTCTCCCAGCAGGTCCTTGCACAAATGGAAAGTTTTCCAACTGCAGCAGGAGAGGCTACAGAATAGACTGGGCTCCCATGGGATCTACTGTGGGACAGAGGCTGAAGAAGCTGGTCTTGGCTCAGAGGAATGTGTGTAACCCAACAAGTTTCTGCACAGGTAGGATAGTTCCCTGGCTGAAAAAGAAGGGGCCAGGTAAGGCTATTTTTATTACAGTAACTAGTTGGTAGTACTTGAATTGAGATCATCTCTATTTAGTTCATACAATAAATCCATGTCATCTGGATGTAAGATATTATTTCTATTTTCTACAGGAGGTGGTAGAAAAAGAATACAGCACATCATCAGGAATTAGTTTAAACTGGTAAGGTACCAATTGTAAATAAAGAAAATATGAATATAAAATTGTTGACTAAGCACAAATATTTGTCTCCCCTATCTATCAGGACCTTCAATACAAGTTGAAAAAATGAAAAGAATAATAATCGTTCCAGGAAAAATTTGAAATTCTGGCCAATCTTTTCCTGTGCCCCCAAACAAAAAGTTTGGGAGCGAATACTAATCCTTATAAAATACATGGGGGCTGGTGGCAGACTGTCAGGGGAAAATACTTTTGAATTTCTAACTCAGAACTCTCCTGAAGCCCATGTGGCTGAAATATAAAGAAATAGTTTTTAAAATAAAATATTTATTTGTATTTACAAAAAATACTTGCAAACTTTAGCTTTTCAGCCCAAGAAGGTGGTATATATTGCAGAACACTTGCAACTGCATGGGATATGTAAATTCATGAGATGTGAAACTTGCACTCTTTTGTCCGTCTGAAGTTAAGCACTGCAAATTTCCAGAGGGCTTGGTTTAAGATTTAGTCCGTTGACTAATGTTCTGCAATAGTATGCAGCAATAAATTAATTGCTTGAGGATTATCTTCTGTTTCGATATATAGTGGTAAATATGAGAGCAGAGGACATTAACGGACAAGAAATGTCAACAAATCTGAAAGGAGCATTTGGAGACAAGTTGATGAATGAAATAGAACGAAGCATTCCACAGCACAGAATTACTGGGGAGGAACTCTTCCAGACAATAGCAAAGAGCAGCTTCTTCCAAGCTGCTTCTATGTGGTCTGAATAACACAGATACCAAAAATAAAAAGACATTGTGGAAAAGGGAAATTACAGGGCTGTTTCACTTATTAATATAAATACAAAGAACATAGAGTCAAACAGTGTCTAAAACTAATAAAGAACTATAACCAATTTTGGTTTATCCCAGAATATGAGGAAGGTTTAATATTAAAAAATCCATAAATATGTCTAACCCCTCATCATATTAAAAGAAACCAGAGGCAACATCTGATTATATTTAATATCCATTCATCACTTTGAAACTCTTCATAAGTTAGAAAAAGATGAATAGAATTCCTTAACCTGATAAACAGTAAATGCTGTGGCATACCATATAGCACTCAAAATAAATGAATCAGAGTGGCATTTAAAAAGAGATAAATCTTGGCATTATAATATTAAATGACATTCTTTCTATAAGGTCAAACAACTAAAGTGAAACAACATACTTTTAAGAATACATAGATACAGTAAAACTATATTAAAAGGAAAGCCATGGATTGAATGACATAGGACTCAGGAGGATGGCAGCTTGAAAGGGGAAAGCCAGGGAGCTGGGATGGAGAGGCTAGAGCTTATCTGAAGAAATTGACTCTTGTTTGAGATGGTGCTTTCAAAGCAGATTATTACAGAATTAAAAGCAAGAAATCAAATAAATAAAATCACCAGGCTTGAAATGATGACCACATATCATCATGAACCACAAATTATGATTAATCTAGTTTCCTGTACCAGAGGCCAAATGAAAGAAAAAGGACTTGATCATTTGGGAAAGAAAACAGCAGGATAGTATTTGGATGGGGATATGCTGAAAAAAAATTTAATTAAGAATTGCAAGATTTGAGTGCGATTTTATACTGACAGGGAAAAGGCGTAATGAAAATGAGGCTGGGGACATAGGAGAGAACAGAAATAATCAAAGGAGCAGGTAATGCTGAGCAGGCTGGCTAGAAACAGAGCACTGGGGTGATGAGCCTCTGAGAGAGGGATTCTCTCTCATCCTATCAAATAGAGATGAAGTAAAGGGTGTGGACGTGAAAACCTGTGCCAGTGTAGTGGCAGGAACTTGCAGGAGTTCCCCTCTTATGACGTATATTTTCTGTTTAAAATGGGACTCAAGGTCATCTTCTGAGTGAGAGGGGTGGTGGCATGTAGGAAGCATAGGGAGAGCTGTGAGTGTTTGTATGATAGTGGTTAAGACAAATGTCCATCAGTAATAGACTGGATAAAGAAAATGTGGCACATATATACCATGGAATATTATGTAGCCATAAAAAATGATGAGTTCATGTCCTTTGCAGGGACGTGGATGAAGCTGGAAACTATCATTCGCAGCAAACTATCACAAGAACAGAAAACCAAACACCGCGTGTTCTCACTCATAAGTGGGAGGTGAACAACGAGAACGCATGGACACAGGGAGGAGGACATCACACACTGGGGCCTGTCGGGGGATGGGGGGACTAGGGGAGGGATAGCATTAGGAGAAATACCTTATGTAGGTGATGGATTGATGGGTGCAGCAAACCACCATGGCACGTGTATACCTAGGTAACAAAACTGCACATTCTGCACTTGTGCCCCAGAACTTAAAATGTAATTTAAAAAAAAGAGAGAGAGAGAAAAAAAGAACTGGCTCCACATCAGAGATATTTAGGTTTGGATCCTGGCTCTCAGAGGTCACTATGGATGTGACCGTATTTATACATTTCTACTGCGATTGTGGTTCTCTTCCTTCTTTTTTCTCTTACCCTTTTCGTTTTGTTTTTTTTCCTTACCGTTCTTCTTCTTCACTTCTAGTTTAAAAAAGTATCTGTGGAGGAACTGCATTTTATCTGCTTTGGCCATATTTTCATTTCTGTATCAATCAAATATTTCTGGGTAAGCAGGAAACTAAAACTGTTTAAGCTTGGCCCAGGTGCCCACTTGGAACCCTCCACAGCAGATAGTGGTATGACATCTGTAAGAAGGTGCCATCTCCCGTTCAAAAAGAATTTCCTAGAAGAAGGAAGGGTACTATTTTGGGCAGGAAAAATAATAGGAACTCACCATATTATTGTAGTTGTTGATGATGTGAGGATTAGGAAGTAAAATTAAATAGAGAAACACTTCTGGCCAGTGTAGAATTTCTGGTTGAGGTCAAGGAGCATGAATTTGTAGTTGCAACAACCTGTAATATAATATTGTATTATTTTTAGCAACAATACTCTGCAAATCTGATGCAGATGAATTTTTCACATTGGTCCAGATTTGAATTTTTCAGAGAAATGTAACAGGAGAAAGATGATAATATTGGCAATATAGAGGATGAAGAGGTAGGTAGATGATATGATCAAGGGTATATATGAAAGGTGGTGACAAGACGAGAGAGGACTGGGAGAAAATAGAGGATTGGAAGGGTTTATGGGGAAAATCAGCCTGAAGAAACTGAATTGGTCTGAGATCATAATTACGGAATTGAAAGATTTAATGTTTCAAGAGTTGATAATTATAAGATAATAAGTTTACATATCTATCTATGGAAGTAGTTTACTAATGTGGAATTATGATGATGGAAATGAGAGATTAAAAAACAGATGCTAAGGTTCATCTGGGTCATTCACGTACACACTAATATCAGCCAAGTCAAGGTTCATCTGGGTCATACATGTACACATGGATATTGCCTGCAAGTCTTGGGGTGAAAGGAGCACATTGAACCAGATGCTAAAGGCTTGAGTGAAAGAGAAGACACACAGTTGTTTACACTTGCTAAATTTATTACAGTGATGACTAGGAACTATTTTATCCTTAGGGGCTTCAGGCTGAAAATGTAATTTCTTTCCACGTATTTATCTTCACACCATAACCCTTTGGATGTGGAAGTTATTAAAAAGGAATTTTACATGAGGTAAGAATGGGTTAATGAGTCATAAATATGCATAACACAATGCTCATTACATAGCTAACATTAGATATCATGAGAATTATCCTAAAAAACAGATGCTAAGGTTCATCTGGGTCATTCATGTACACACTGATATCAGCCAAGTTGCTGGCAAGTGTTTGGGTGAAAGGAGGACATTGAACCAGATGCTAAAAGCTTGAATGAACGAGAAGACACACAGTTGTTTACACTTGCTAAATTTATTACAGTGATGATCAAGAACTGATTGATCCTTAGGGGCTTCGGGGTGAAAATGCGATTTCTTTCCATGTATTTATCTTCGCACATAACACTTTGGATGTGGAAGTTATTAAAAAGGAATTTTACATGAGGTAAGAATGGGTTAATGAGTCATAAATATGCTTAGCACAATGCTCATTATATAGCTAACATTAGATATTGTGAGACATCCCCTGGAAGTGACATCCCCTGACTTAAAAGAATTTGTAATTTGCAGAAGTTAGGTTTACACATTCAAAACAATTTGAGAATAACAGACTAGTATAGGGTACAAAAAGAACAGGTGAGTAAATGTGTGCAACAGGTATACGGAGAAGGGATAGGCCAATTTTATTAGGTTCTTATACGAACTTTGAAGAAAAGAAGTGATGGATACTGCTTTAGGAACTCCTTTATTTTTATGGCTTAGAACTACATTTTTATATAGTTTTTTCATCTAAGATTAAAATAAAATTTTTCCAAACACAGGACATCCTTTTATTCTTTATTCTGTATTGAGGTGCTCTTTAATTATCTAAAATTTTTAAAGTTTTCTGACTCAGAGGAAATTGCTAATATCATTATCTTCATCCTTTCTTTTCTCCAAAGTACATGCCCTCTGATTTGGGAATTCAAAATGACATTACTCATTTTAAAAATAACAGAAAAAAGTTGGATTTATTGGAATGATTTTTCTTTTGGTTTCTTCCCAAAGTTTTCATAATTTCCACTGATGTATAATTGAAGGAAGAATTTTTTCCCCTCCAAGATCTGAGTAGATCTATTTTTCATAAAGAAAATCAAATGTTTTTTCACAGAGGTTAATAACAATAAAACTATATAATTTATCAAAATTATGCTCCTTAGCTATTTGGGAGAGTCCACGGCGTGCCCCAAACAAAATGCCTTTTCAGCCAGTTACTATATTATTATTCAGTTTACATTGCTAGGATACATGGCCTATTGCCGTGACATTGTACTCAGTAATGCCACAGGTAGTAGTACCCTTTGCCAATTAGAAAATTCTTCTCGATTCAGAAAAAAAGGGAAGGGATCTTAATTATTGGAATAAGGCCACAGCAGGAAAAAGGATATTTGTTATTACAGTAATAACCTCACACTCACCAAGTCTCTTAAGGGGAAAAATTAAGAAAATTAGAAAATGAATATTTTCCTTTAATTTTCCAACTAAGAAAGACAAATAAAAATATTGACAGTTTTGTCCAGGCGCAGTGACTCACACCTGTAATCTTAGCACTTTGGGAGGCCAAGGCAGTTGGGTCACCTGAGGTCAGGAGTTCAAGGCCAGCCTGACCAACATGGTGAAACCCGTGTCTCTGCTAAAAATACAAAACTTAGCTGGGCGTGGTGGCAGGTGCCTGTAATCCCAGCTACTCGGGAGGCTGAGGCAGGAGAATTGCTTGAACCTGGGAGGTGGATGTTGCGGTGAGCCAGGATTGCACCATTGCATTCCAGCCTAGGCAGCAGAGTGAGACTCCATCCTGGAAAAAAAAAATGACAGGTTTACTATTTCTATCATAGTTATATTTCAATAGTGTGGTTCAAAAACCTTGGCTTGAAAGTGAGGGTATATGAAAGTTTGTCAAAGAGATTACCACAGTAAGTGGGAAAATAATTAAAAAATTAAATTTCCTGAGAACAGGCAATAATAGATCTGCCAATGGTTTTTTTTTTTTTTTTTTTTTTTTCGGAATCTCGCTCTGTCTCCCCAGACTGGAGTGCAGTGTTGCGATCTCGGTTCACTGCAAGCTCCGCCTTCCAGGTTCACACCATTCTCCTTCCTCAGCCTCCCGGATAGCTGGGATTACAGGCGCCCGCCACCTCGCCTGGCTAATTTTTTGTATTTTTAGTAGAGACGGGGTTTCACCGTGGTCTCAATCTCCTGACCTCATGATCCGCCCGCCTCGGCCTCCCAAAGTGCTGGGATTACAGGCGTGAGCCACTGCGCCCCGCCAATGGTTTTACTTTTGAATATAAATTTGTTTTTACATATCTCTCGGAAAAACCCTTGTTGTTTAGAATTGAGTTCAAACTTCCTTTTCCTATTTCCAATTTATCATTGACTGGAAAACATTAGAAAGCATGCTTGATGAAGAACATCTATGAATTCTAGCACTTCCATAGGAAAGTAAACTGTTACTCAAGTACTGTTCGCATGTGAAGTACCATTGGCAGAGAGAACATGGGAGAGAAGAGGCAAATCCTTACTCCCTTAGGCTGGAGAAGTGGTGGTGTGAACAGGTATGTGCCTATTGTGTCCTTTCTCCTATATTAACAAGGGAAGAGAGCAGGGGTAAGACCCCAAGAAACTTTAAGGCTCTGATGATTTCTTCTTTTCACTCCACAGCCAGAAATACCCAATCAGGCAGACATTTATCCCTGCGGGCTATTTGTTGGGTGCACATGGGTTGAAGACTCAGGTGAGTGGGGATAAGTGTACCGCTGCCAATTATAGGTTTTGTTTATTTCAGGCAGCTGGTATTTTCATTAGGCTTACAATGAACTGAAGATAGGGGCCAGCTGTTCCTCCTAAGAGGAGGTGGGATGGGAAGGGTGAAAAGCCTGGGGCCGGCAGGCCCACAGCATATCCGTTTTCTTGTTGCTCTGGTTCGGAGCCTCGAAGTGAGTCTGCCTCAGGCAGATGGTGCTCATTCCTTCCTAGGAGCCACCTTCAGAACTGTGATGTACGGATAGACCAATGCAGTAAGTACGTTTTCAATAAGTCACTTTGTCAAACAAGCACTCAGTTTCCATGCGGACCAAGTGTCCAGTGATGAACTGTGGTCGTTGATGTAGGTCAAGCTTACATATACAGGCTGTCCAGGGAGGCTACCACCTCATCAAATTGATAATGTTAAGTTATTCTTCGATACTTAGAGAAAAGGCTGAGGACTGACTAGAGAAAGGAGGAAAAAGAAAGATGGGTGGTAGACTTTTGCTTCTCCTAGAATTCCGTGGTTTCCTGTAATGTAGCCTAAATTTGCAAACTTTACTCAACAAAACAATGTTAACTAGCAGGAATCATCTTTTTTGGAAAGCAAATTAGTAATTAGCTATTATTTCTCAATTAAACTCCTGAGTACTGTGATAAAGAATTTCAGAGATTCCGTAAATGGTTGATAAGTGAACAATTTCAGTTTAGTCTCATTGAAATTGCAGTATCTGGAAATTCCTCTTTGGCTTTGGAAATATTTTATTGTTGGTCTCAGTTTTCAATATGGTAAGTTGAGAGGCAGAGTTGCTAATTCACAGGCTGAGGATCAAAGTACCTTGGTTGGAATACTGGCTCTGCCTCATACCAGCTGTGTGAACTTTGGACAAGTTACTTAACCTCTCTGTTACTCAATTTTCTGATTTATAAAATAGGAGTAATAATTATAATACTGAAGGGTTATTGTAAATATTCAATGAGTAAATATATGTATGCCACTCTGAATCTTGCCTATCACATAGTAAATAATAGATATTAGCTGTCATTCTTTTCTTTTGATAGTGAGATTTGATGTATTTGTGAAATTTGACATATTAGTGAATGGGCTGCATCAGAGGCAGCTAGTGAAACAATCTTTAAGCTAGATCTTGGTCATATAGTATCAAAGATTCTGATCTCAGGTAATCCTCCCACTAGGCTGCTAGAAGTTCTGTCTCTAGGTATGCTCCTTAAGGGCCTTGTAGAGACAGGAACTTTACAACTATGAACTGCTGTCCTTCAAGTTTTTCCCTTTTTTGTCTCTATTAAACTCACTTTCCTGCTCACTTCCAAAGGTAAAATAAGAACTCTTAACTTTGGTTCCAAGTTACACTGCAAATATATTTTCATTTTGGCACTACATTTTATGTCCATTTCTCCTACTGGACTGTAAATCTCTAGAAGGACTCTACTATTTCTCTAGCATTTAGCACTGAGTATGGCATGTGGTAGATGAATAGTGAATAAGTCTTGAATGAAATTTATTGAATTCTTGAGTTCTTAGAATCTGCAAGCCTTCCAACCCATTCTCCCTTTATGATTTGATGTCATTGTGAAGACCCACTGAATTAGTCTGTTTGGGCTGCTATAACAAAAATTTTATAAACCAGGTAGCTTATAAACAACAAACATTTATTTCTCACAGTTCTGGAGACTGAGAAGTTTAAGATCAAGGCACCAGCAGAGTTGGTGTCTGGTGAGGGCTTGCTTTCTCATAGATAATGTCTTCTCACTGTGTCCTCACATGGTGGGAGGGACTAGCTAGCTCTGTGATCTCTTTTATAAGGACACTAATCCAATCACAAGCGTTATGACGTTATGACCTGGTGATCTAATCACTCCAAAGGCCCTGCCTCTTGATACCATCACCTTGAGGGTTAGGATTTAAACATGAATTTGGATGAGAAACATGAACACTCACATTCTGCACCACTGCCACCACCTGCCCCACCAAATTCATGTCCTTCTCGCATGCAAAATGCATTTATTCCATTCTAATAGCCTCGAAAGTCTTAACTCAGTCAACTCAAAAGTCTAAGGTTCAGAGTGTGGTGTAAATATCATTTAAATCAGATATGGGTGAGACTCAAGGTATGATTCATCCTTAGGCAGATTTCTCTCCATCCGTGAGCTATGAAATCAAACATGTTACATGCTTCCAAAATACAATGGTGAGACAGGTGTAGGACATTCCCATTTCATAATGGAGAAATAGGAAAGAAGAGGGTATCAGGTCCCAAGTAAGTTGGAAATCCCAACAGGGCAAACAACATTAAATCTTAAGTCTCTAGAATAAGCTTGTTTGACTGCATATTCCACCTTCTGGTCACGGCGAGGTGGAGGTTGGGCCCTCAAGGTTCTGGACAGCCTTTACCCTCATGGCTTTCCAGGTGCAGCCCTCATCCCAGCTCTCAAGGGTTTGGAGTCATGTGCCTGTGGCTCTCCCAGGCTGGACTTGTATATGCAGACAGTCCTACCAGTCTGAGGTAATGGGGGTGGCCTTGCCCCACGGCTCCAAGGAGCATTCCCCTAGTAGGTGCTCTCTGTGGTGGCCTCAACCCTGTGGCAGCTTTGTATTTTCAAAAAATTCATAGATTTAAATCCTAACCTCTAAGGTAATGGTATTAAGTGGTGGGACCTTTGGTAGGTGATTAGATCATGAGCATAAAGCCTTTATGATTGAGATTAGCACTCTTGTAAAAAGAGACCACAGAGAGCTAGCTAGTCTCTTTTCCATGTGAGGACACTACAAAAAAAGTGCCATCTATGAACCAGGAAATAGCCCTTACCAGACACCAAGTCTGCTGTTGCCTTGGATTTCTCAGTCTCTAAAACTGTCATAAATAAAAGTGTATTGTTTGTAAGCCACCCAGTTTATGATATTTTTGTTGCAGTAGCCCAAAAAGACCAAAATGCCTGTTTCATGATGAATAACTTTTATTCTCCCACACTGCACATTGGCTCTTAGGAGCTGCTTACTTTTCTGTTCTTGCTACAAAGCTTTAGGACTCTTCAAGTAAAAGGAAAATCCCACAATCTGTATATGCCATGTTTATGAATTTCAACTCTATTACATTTTGGAAATTCTGTGCCTACTCCTGGTCATTTCCCTTAATGGTTATTCCAAAATACCTCAGAAGTCCCATTATTTTGTATATCTCATTCTCAGTAGCTAAACTTTTCCTTTCCTTTGCTGAAAAAATAGAGGCCATAGCCATTGAATAACCTTGCCCTTCCTGCTTTTCAGTTCCTAATTTATTATTTTCTTGGCTGTATCCCCTCACTCCTTGTCTTTTTTCCTCAAATTCTTCAATGTGTCTTCTGGTTGCTCCAAGATCTCTGTCTGTCAATTATATCTTCTTTCTTTTTTATCAATCGTTTCTTTTCTACTGCCTTTTTTCCAGACCAGAAAACAAGTTCTAACATTGTAAAAATTTTCCTCTTAATTCCACTACTACTAAATGAACCACTTCAACTTCTAATCCACATTTTTCTTTTCAACTTCAACTCTAATTCATGTGTCAAGCATCATTCTCTGGCTTCTATTAATATCTTTTTTATTTTTTTTTGAGATGGAGTCTCACTCTTTTGCCCAGGCTGGAGTGCAGTGGCACGATGTCAGCTCATTGCAACCTCTGCCTTCTGGGTTCAAGCAATTCTCCTGCCTCAGCCTCCTGAGTAGCTGGGACTACAGGCACCTGCCACCATGCCTGGCTAATTTTTGTATTTTTAGTGGAGACCGGGTTTCACCGTATTGGCCAGGCTGCTCTCGAACTCCTGACCTTGTGATCCACCCGCCTAGGCCTCCCAAAGTTTTGGGATTACAGGTGTGAGCCACCGCACCCAGCCAATACCTTTTGAAAAACAGTTCTCACTGAAGTTTCAAATTTCACATTGCCAATTGTAAAGTCATTGCTTCTTAGCATTCTTCATCCATCTGTGGGCATTATATTCTGCTGGCCATTTCCCTTTTTCTTGACATTCTCTTCTCCCTGACACACAATCTCCTAGCTCACTTCAGTCTGTCTGGTCTATCCTCCATAGGTTTCAGTAATTCGCCCATCCCTTCTCACTTTTGTTTCATGTTTGTGTTCCCAGTAATTCTTCCTTGGACTTCCCAGGTGGTTTCTTTTTGTTGATTTCATCCAGTTTTATGATTCTAGCTACTGCCTAATTATCAACTCCCAAAAGAGTATCTTACTTTTTGCTTTTCTCCTGAGACCAACATTTTCAGCTGTATACTAAGTATCTTAACATGAATGTCTCATAAGTGTCTCAAATTCCACATGGTTCAAAACAAACTCTTAATCTCATCCATTGGTTGACCATATGAAGACAAAGTGAAGAGTTCAAGAATTCCCTTACATCATCACAGATGTGAGTTTATTTTTACCTCTGGATGTCACTGAGTAAAGAAAAAGACCCAGAGGGAACTGATTCATGTAACAGCTAATGCTTGTTGGAAGTGATGGGGAGCAAGAATTGGGCCAGGCAGATCCCAACTTGGAGAATCTTCCTGGGCAGACAGTTTAAGAAGATACAGTGCAAAGGGAGATCCTGGTTTCTAAATATACATTTGGTTACTGGGCTGTGAGGTCAGAAAAAAATGGACCATGGTGAGAGAGTACAATAAAAGAAATTTGAGGAGGGAAACTGAAACACTTTCCCAACTACTCAGATCTGCATGAAACAGACCTGAAACTTGCAAGTTGGTTCTTGTTATATGTAAAATGTTTATTTAGAAACATAATGCTTGTTTCCCAGTGCTGCAAAGAAATAGCACTCAAACATAAATTTAATTCTGTCGGCAAGGCAATCTTTACTTTGTGCAGAAAGGGTGTTCATCACAGATGGAACAATGGCGAGAGCACATCTGAACAAAGGAGGGAAGTAATTTTTATCTCGTATGCAGTTTGTCCTTGCTACTGTGTCCTGTCTCCATTGGCTGGAGCCAGACCACACAATCTGAACTAAAACCCAATTGGCTAATAATTTAAAACTTTTCTAAATAGGTAAAGGCAATAGACAAAGGAAAAGAGGAAGTTCCTTACAAAAGGACTTAGAAGAGTAATAGCATTCCTAAATAAGGAAGGGGCATAGGCTGTAAGCTGGGACATGCCTGTGAGCATGTCTAGCATAGATATCTTGGTTAAAGTACAAGGACATAGAATGTACTACGTGCCTGTGAGCATGTCCAGCATAAAGTTAGTCTTTAAAAGAAACTATTATTTCTAACACTTATGATTTATTCTTTAACAAGAAGAGAAATTTGAAGAGGAACTTTTTATTTTCTACAGTTCTGAATAGGGTCATCTTTCGGAACAAACCCTAGGGAAAAAAGCATGTTTCTTAGACAATGGAAAATTTACTTTGTGTAATGTTTGTTGGAAGTTTGCCTAAGCATTTATAGTGCTTTGTCCTCTCTCTCCATCAGAATTGTTGGTAGTCTTAGAAAGGTAAAATTTTAATATATTAGACCAGAGAATATAGTTAATTACTAAGAATACCTCAAGTTACTCTTCTTTAATTTTCTCCTCCTTCTTTTATTCCTAGCTTCTGTCTCTTTTGTCCTTTTTATTTCTTTTCTCTACTTCTGTTGAAGTATATATTAAGGAAAACTATTCAAAGTGTTTTTCAGTCTTTAGGATACCACTCTATTCCTTGTGAGGATTGAATATATATTTTTGTCCAAATAATTAATTGAATAAGAGCTGGCGTATTTTATGGTGCTAAAGATTGAGTAGATGCTCAAAGAAACAGAACTCTGAACCTACCTCTCAGACACTCACTCAACAATTTTGTATTTAGTGAAAACTGGAGGACGTTGTGTTAAGTGAAAAAAGCCAGGCACTGAAAGGCAAATATTGCATGTTCTCACTCATATATGGGAGCTAAAATATTTGATTTTCTGAAGGTAGAGAGTGGAATGATGGTTATCACAGCGTCAGAAGGTTGTGGGGAGAGGGGGCTAAGATGGAGTTGGTTAATGGGTACAAAAATACAGCCAGGCAGTAGGAATAAGATCTAGTGTTTGGTAGTGCAATAGGATGACTCAAGTTAACAATAATTTATTGTATAGTTCAAAATGACTAGGGAAGTAGATTTGGGATATTCCCAACACAAAGAAATGATACATCTTTGAGATGATGGATATCTCAGTTACCCTGATTTGATGATTACACATTGGATGCTTTTATCAAAATATCACCTGTACCCTATACATATGTACAACTATTACATACATGTAAAAATTAAAGAGAATTAGGCAGCCTGCATGTATTAGAGCTTCAGGCATGCTGCAGCAGGCCTGTCCTATCTAGAGTGTATCCCTGTTATTCTCTTGTTCCCTTGGTTAATGAGCAGATTAAATTTTCCCAGGCTCTTTGTCTTCCGTTACAGAGCAGCCTACTGGGATCTTGAAGCTGACAATGATATGACGTATATGGATATAATGGTGGTTGTATTAACTTCCTAAGACTGCTGTAATAAATTACCATAAACTGGGTAGCTTCAAACAACAGAAATTTATTCTGTCACAGTTCTGGAGCCAGAAATAAAAAAATCAAGATATTATTGGTGTTTCTTTCTTCTAGAGGCTCTAGGGAAGAATCTGTTTCTTTCCCCTCTCCTAGCTTCTGGTAGCAGCTGGTAGTCCTTTGTGTTCCTTGGTGTGTAGACTCATCACTCCAAACTCTGCTTTTCTCTTCACATGGCTTTCCCCTCTGTGTCTCAAATCTCTCTCTCCTTTCTCTTGCAAGGATACCAGTGATTGTATCAGGGGACAACCCTAAATCCAGGCTAATCTGCTGAGATCCTTAACTAAATTAAACCTGCAAAGATTCTGTCTCTAAATAAGGTCTCGTTCACAAGTACCAGGGGCTAGGACTAGATGTATCTTTGGGGGGAACATAATTCAACCCACTACAGTGGCCAATATTGCTTTCTCAGGCCTGAAAAATAAGACTTCTGGGAATTCAATATGAGCCTACCATGAATATGGAAAAGGGGCTGAAGATTTAAACAAATAAAATTGCTTGGATTCTTATCACACTTTTCCTCTGTTGTTGCAGAATTTCTTCTTTACAGGTTTTAGGCAGTTGAAAAGAAGGTGACTATTTCAGGACTCTAAAAAAGTTAAAAAATTTATTTGAGATATGCTTCACATTTTTGCTCAATTTTTTTATTATTTATAGTTACTAAATTTTGCAGTGGTATATATTTATTAGAATTACAGAGAAACCAAAATAAGTAAATTTGCCTTTTGAGCTTCCCACCCACATATGAAGACTCCTAATTCTTTGGTGCATAACCTTGAGATTATATTTAGCTTACTAGATATTTACACATTCATATATATCTATAAATCCATATGTAGCAGTAACATGCATATATATTTGTTACATTTTTATTCATAATATATAACTTTTTAGGAAGTCAATAAATATACATCTTGTTGATGTTTTAAAACATTTTCATAAATTATTTGACACTTCCATTTCATCCCATCCCATCACAAATTAGAGTTTAATTCTCCTCCTATTTGAATATGGGCTAGACTTAGTGACTTGATTCTAAAGGATTTTATATGGCAGAATGATACCATGTTAATTCTGAGGTTGGGTCATAAAAGGTGACACAGCTTCTGTTTGGCTCTTTCTCTTTTGGAAAATGTACCTATGCAGGAATCCCTGAGTCAGCAATGTAAGAAGTCTGGCTATTCTGAAACAGACATGCTGGAGAGAACACGTGGAAAAACCATATTAAAGAAAAAATTGCCCAAGGAGCCACAGCTATTCCAGCTCTCAAATGCTTGGCTTATACCAGCCAATCACCAGAGATACATGATGATTTCGGTCCCCAACATTTTAGCCACCTGAAATGACTCTAAGTAGAGCAGAGTCGTTTCTGATGAGCCCTGAACAAATGGCATAGTTGTAAGGAAAGAAATGCTGTTGCTGTTTTTAGTCATTATGTTTTGGAATATCTTATATAGCAAGATAACTTGAACACATTTACTTGATGTCTCTTAATGGCTGTACAGTGTTTTAATATTATGGGTGTGTCACCTTTAACTAGTTTCTTATTGTTGGACACTGAATTTTTCAAGTTTTAGTTGTTTTAAAAATTGGAACAACCTTGAACATAGATATCTGTTCTCTTGTTCAATTATTATTTTAAGTTGAAATCTTGGAAATGCTAGGTAGTACACAAAAGCGTGTCATGGTGTTTGTTTTGTCACAAGGATCCCAAATTGCACATGGTCATTATTTGTAATCTTGCCAATTTAAGGCAGACAGCACTTTTCTTCATTGACATGTAGATGTTATAACTGATTTTCTAATAGTTCTATTACTGGGAATACATCTTATTGTGATTTATTATTATGATTCATTTAATTTACTACTAACGTTTTATACATCCTGTCTTATATCAGGGTCAGGGCACACATAGAAAATAGTAGTACTTGTATGATAGCCCAAGGTAAACTACAGGAGGTTGGAGGTCACCTATATGAAATATGAAAAAAAATTATATTTTTATAATAAATGATATTAATATAATGATATTTATCCTTAAATTTGAATTAAAACTTCCAACTTCCAAATAAATTATTTCTGGATTTACTATGATGAAGTTTATCTTGCTCCCATGGACATAACTTTTATTGTAAATATGTACTAGCATTTGTGCTTGAAAACATTACACATAATTTTCTGATGAAGGCTTGGTTGTGTTCTCTTTAAATTTTTGTAGGACATTGTCTTAGTTCATTTGTGCTACTATAGCAAAATACCCGAGGCTGGTTCATTTATAAAGAATAGAAGTTTATTTCTCACAGTTCTTCAGACCGGGAAATCCAAGGTCAAGATAATGTCAGTTTCAGTGTCTGGTGAGGACCTAGCCTCTGCTTCTAAGATGGCATCTTGTTCCTACATCCTCCATAGGGGACAAATGCTGAGTCCTGAGATAGCAGAGACAGAAGAGCAAAAGGGTCTAGCTAGTTCCCTCCATTCCTTATAAAGTCACTAACCCTGTTAGTGAGGGCTCTGCCCTCCTAACTTAATCACCACGTAAAGGCCCCATCTCTTAATACTGTTACATTGACGATTAAGTTTTAACATTAATATTGGAGGGAATGCAAACATTTAAACCACAGCAGTCATCATCAACAAAAAACTTTATTAACATAGGCAGGTAATACATTCTAAAACATACTTTACATCCACTGAAATGTTTTACATTGTAACCACTGAAATTATATTTCAAGCTAAAGTTTTCCTTTGTTTCATTGATAAATGTAATGTTGACATTTCTTACCATAATGTGAGTGGGCTTTGAATCCAACCAAACTTTTTAACAGTATTTCAAAATCATGGTGGAGCTTTTATTTGGAGAACCTACTGCATTATAAGAACATCACATCATTAGTTTAAAGACCTCTAGAGAGAGCATATGCCACAAACATATGGGTCCACAGCCCAGAAATGTGCCCCTGGGATTCTCTGTCACCATTAGGAATGGGACACACATCCCTGAGCAGTCATCTGACCGCTGAAGTAGATGTCCAGTGAAAGCAGCAACTTGCCCATGCTCAGCAAGCTGTGGCAGAGCAGCAAGTGCCAGGTATAGCTCATCCCTCATCTTGATTTTCATCTGTGACAGCAGCTGGGCATGCCACCCTCATCTCACCCACTCACCCAGCTCAGATCTTTGAACCCACCACCAAGATCATCACTGTCTGAGGCAAAAGGTGTTGGGGCTCAAGCTGCTCAAGCCTTGTCCTGTTGCCTCATGGGCTGAGATAAATTACCACTCCCCTGCACACCTGCCAACAGTTTTCTGGACAAGCTTTGCACTAACGGATTTAACTTGCTAATATTTTATTTGTGAATTCTGTGTAAAATATTCATAATTATGTTTACCTTCATTCTCCTTTTTTTGTGGTACCTATGTTTAGTCTATGATACAGCTAATTATGTTGGCTTCATACAAATCACGGAGTTTTTCATTGTTTTCTCTGTTCTGGAAGAGAATAAATAGGCTAAGGATGATTGACCAGTTAAATGCATTCTAGAACTTATTCCTAACAATACATAGATTTAGAGCATTTAAAATGCAGGTTTTAAGGTTGGTTTTGACTTGAGATGATCTTTTTATCAAATGTTCTGTAAATTTTGATAATTTACTTTTTTAAGAAATGTATTCTTTTCACTGAAGTTTTTGATTTTTCAGTGGACTTGCACACAGGATTCTCTCATAATTTAAATAACTTTCTCTAATTTGGTGTTAATCTCCATAGTGTTCAATATTGCAAGTTACAAGTCTTCTAGGATTCCAATAATGGCATTATCATTTCCTGGCTTTGTGGCTAGAACAAGTTTCTTAATGCTCTGAGGCTCAGTTTACTCTGGAAAATTGGAATACAAGTATCTACCTGATAAGGTTGTAGTTTTAAATTTTCTAATGATTGTAAAGTACTCAACAAAGTCTCTGGTACGTAGACAGCTGCACATAAATGATAGTTTTTATCCCTGTATTTCTTATTCTAATTGTTATATATTAGTGCCTTCCTTCTTTTTTTCATTAAGTTTGCCATTTCATATTGTGGTTTTTCTTCTTAAAGGAACAAGTTTTTGAGTTTATATACTTATCCTACTGTTCCTGTTTTTAATCTACTATATACTCAGCATTTAATTCTTAGTTCTTTTTCTGCTTTTTGTAGGTACATTTTTTATTCTTTAAAAATATTTTACATTAATATTTTATTTTATGAGAGCCAAGTTTGTATAAATTAAAAATTCTACATTATCTTGGTATAATAAATTTTCCCACAAATGACTTTTGTAATGTATCTTTTACTTTTTGATTTCTAAAATTAGCATACAGTATTTTGTTCTGTTACTCTTTAGCTTCTACTCTCAAATTTTACTTATTTTCTGTACTCTGTGTTTAAGAAAAATTGTTAATGCTCTGAATTTCCTTCTGAATACAGTTTTAGCATTTTCATGGTTTTTAACATTTATTCTCTAATTTCAGTTTTGCTGCAGGAGTTATTGAATAGAATAACCTACTGTTTTATTTTATTGCTTCAATTTCTTTTCATTTTTCTTCTGTCTTCTTAGAAAGCTTCTCATGTTCAGTGACTCAATTGTCCTAAGTTTTTTTTTTTCTCAACTTTTAAGTTCAGGGGTACATGTGCAGGTTTGTTATACAGGTGAACTTGTGTCATGGGGGTTTGTTGTAACGATTATTTCATCACCCAAGTATTGAGCCTAGTACCTATTAGTTATTATTCCTGATCCTCTCCCTCCTCCCGGCCTCCACCCTCAAATAGGCTCCAGTGTCTGTTGTTCCCATCTTTGTGTCCACGTGTTCTCATCATTTAGCTCCCACTTACAGATGAGAACATGCAGTATTTGGTTTTCTGTTACTGCATTAGTTCGCTGAGGATAATGGCCTTCAGCTCCAACTATGTTCCTGCAAACATTCCTGCAAAGAATATAATCTCTCTTTTTTAGTGGCTGCATAGTATTCCATGGTATAGATGTACTATATTTTCTTTTTTTTTTTTCCTTTAGCTTTTATGTTCTGGGGTACATGTGAAGGCTGTGCATGTTTGTTACGCAGGTAAACGTGTGCCATGGTGATTTGCTGCACAGATCAACCCATCACACAGGTATTAAGCCCAGCATCCATTAGTTATTCTTTCCGATGCTCTTCCTCTCCACTCCATGTTCCCAATAGGCCTCCAGTGTGTGTTGTTCCCCTTCATGTCTTCTCATTGTTTAGCTCCAACTTATAAGTGAGAACATGTGGTGTTTGGTTTTCTGTTCTGGTGTTAGTTTGCTGAGGATAATGGCTTCCAGCTCCATCCATGTCCCTGCAAAGGACATAATCTTGTTCCTTTTTACGGCTGCATAGTATTCCATGGTGCATGTGTACCACATTTTCTTTATCCAGTCTATCATTGATGGGCATTTGGGTTGATTCCATGTCTTTGCTATTATGAATACTGCTGCAGTGAACATACGTGTGCATGTATATTTATAATACATTAATTTCTATTCTTTTGGGTGTATGCCCACTAATGGGATTACTGGGTATCGAATACCAATGGGTAAAATGGTATTTCTGCCTTTAGGTCTTTGAGGAATCACCACACTGTTTTCCACAATGGTTGAACTAATTTACACTCCCACCAACAGTGTAAAAGCATTTCTTTTTCTCCACAACCTTGCCAGTATCTGTTTTTTCTGGACTTTTTAATATTCACCATTCTGATTGTCATGAGATTATATCTCATTGTGGTTTTGAATTGCATTTCTCTAATGATCAGTGATGTTGAACTTCTTTTATATGTTTGTTGGCCACATAAATATCTCTTTTGAGAAGTGTCTGTTCATGACCTTTGTCCACTTTTTAATGGGGTTGTTTGTTTTTTCTTGTAAATTTGTTTAAGTTCCTTGTAGACTCTGGATATTAGATCTTTGTCAGATGAATAGATTGCAAAAACTTTCTCCTATCCTGTAGGTTGTTCACTCTGATGATAGTTTCTTTTGCTGTGCAGAAGCTCTTTGGTTTAATTAGGTCCTGTTTGTCAATTTTTGCTTTTGTTGCAATTGCTTCTGGGGTTTTCATTATGAAATCTTTGCTGTGTCTGTTTCTTGAATGGTATTGTCTAGATTTTCTTCTAGGGTTTTTACAGTTTTGGGTTTTACATATAAGTCTTCTATCCATCTTGAGTTGATTTTTGTGTAAGGTGTAAGGAAGGGGTCCAGTTTCAATTTTCTGCATATGGCTAGCCAGTTCTCCAAGCACCATTTATTAAATAGGGAATCCTTTTCCCATTGCTTGTTTTTTTTTGGGGGGGAAATGTTTTGGACTATTTTTTTTTAAATTATACTTTAAGTTCTAGGGTGCATGTGCACAACGTGCAGGATTGTTACATATGTATACATGCACCATGTTGGTGTGCTGCACCCATTAACTCATCATTTACATTAGGTATATCTCCTAATGCTATCCCTCCCCCCTTCCCCCACCCCACAACAGTACCCAGAGTGTGATGTTCCCCTTCCTGTGTCCAGGTGTTCTCATTGTTCAATTCCCACCTATGAGTGAGAACATGCAGTGTTTGGTTTTTTGGCCTTGTGATAGTTTGCTGAGAATGATGGTTTCCAGCTTCGTCCATGTCTCTACAAAGGACATGAACTCATCCTTTTTTATGGCTGCATAGTATTCCAAGGTGTTTATGTGCCACATTTTCTTAATCCAGTCTATCATTGATGGACATTTGGGCTGGTTCCAAGTCTTTGCTATTGTGAATAGTGCTGCATAAACATATGGGTGCATGTGTCTTTATAGCAGCATGATTTATAATCCTTTGGGTATATACCCAGTAATGGGATGGCTGAGTCAAATGGTATTTCTAGTTCTAGATCCTTGAGGAGTCACCACACTGTCTTCCACAATGGTTGAACTAGTTTACAGTCCCACCAACAGTGTAAAAGTGTTCCTCTTTCTCCACATCCTCTCCAGCACCTGTTTTTTCCTGACTTTTTAATGATTGCCATTCTAACTGATGTGAGATGGTATCTCATTGTGGTTTTGATTTGCATTTCTCT
This sequence comes from Homo sapiens, assembly GCF_000001405.40. Lineage (NCBI taxonomy): Eukaryota > Metazoa > Chordata > Mammalia > Primates > Hominidae > Homo > Homo sapiens. The sequence goes on along the minus strand of NC_000005.10, from coordinate 110,991,004 downwards.
GATGGCCAGTGATGATTAGCATTTTTTCATGTGTCTGTTGGCTGCATAAATGTCTTCTTTTGAGAAGCGTCTGTTCATATCCTTTGCCCACTTGTTGATGGGGTTGTTTTTTTCTTGTAAATTTGTTTGAGTTCATTGCAGATTCTGGATATTAGCCCTTTGTCAGATGAGTAGGTTGCAAAAATTTTCTCCCATTTTGTAGGTTGCCTGTTCACTCTGATGGTAGTTTCTTTTGCTGTGCAGAAGCTCTTTAGTTTCATTAGATCCTATTTGTCAATTTTGGCTTTTGTTGCCATTGCTTTTGGTGTTTTAGACATGAAGTCCTTGCGCATGCCTATGTCCTGAATGGTAATGCCTAGGTTTTCTTCTAGGGTTTTTATGGTTTTAGGTCTAACATTTAAGTCTTTAATCCATCTTGAATTGATTTTTGTATAAGGTGTAAGGAAGGGATCCAGTTTCAGCTTTCTATACATGGCTAGCCAGTTTTCCCAGCACCATTTATTAAATAGGGAATCCTTTCCCCATTGCTTGTTTTTCTCAGGTTTGTCAAAGATCAGATAGTTGTAGATATGTGGCGTTATTTCTGAGGGCTCTGTTCTGTTCCATTGATCTATATCTCTGTTTTGGTACCAGTACCATGCTGTTTTGGTTACTGTAGCCTTGTAGTATAGTTTGAAGTCAGGTAGTGTGATGCCTCCAGCTTTGTTCTTTTGGCTTAGGATTGACTTGGCGATGCGGGCTCTTTTTTGGTTCCATATGAACTTTAAAGTAGTTTTTTCCAATTCTGTGAAGAAAGTCATTGGTAGCTTGATGGGGATGGCATTGAATCTGTAAATTACCTTGGGCAGTATGGCCATTTTCACGATATTGATTCTTCCTACCCATGAGCATGGAATGTTCTTCCATTTGTTTGTATCCTCTTTTATTTCCTTCAGCAGTGGTTTGTAGTTCTCCTTGAAGAGGTCCTTCACGTCCCTTGTAAGTTGGATTCCTGGGTATTTTATTCTCTTTGAAGCAATTGTGAATGGGAGTTCACTCATGATTTGGCTCTCTGTTTGTCTGTTGTTGGTGTATAAGAATGCTTGTGATTTTTGTACATTGATTTTGTATCCTGAGACTTTGCTGAAGTTGCTTATCAGCTTAAGGAGATTTTAGGCTGAGACAATGGGGTTTTCTAGATACAGTCATGTCATCTGCAAACAGGGACAATTTGACTTCCTCTTTTCCTAATTGAATACCCTTTACTTCCTTCTCCTGCCTAATTGCCCTGGCCAGAACTTCCAACACTATGTTGAATAGGAGTGGTGAGAGAGGGCATCCCTGTCTTGTGCCAGTTTTCAAAGGGAATGCTTCCAGTTTTTGCCCATTCAGTATGATATTGTCTGTGGGTTTGTCATAGATAGCTCTTATTATTTTGAAATACATCCCATCAATACCTAATTTATTGACAGTTTTTAGCATGAAGTGTTGTTTAATTTTGTCAAAGGCCTTTTCTGCATCTATGGAGATAATCATGTGGCTTTTGTCTTTGGTTCTGTTTATATGCTGGATTACATTTATTGATTTGCATATATTGAACCAGCCTTGCATCCCAGGGATGAAGCCCACTTGATCATGGTGGATAAGCTTTTTGATGTGCTGCTGGATTCGATTTGCCAGTATTTTATTGAGGATTTTTGCATGAATGTTCATCAAGGATATTGGTCTAAAATTCTCTTTTTTCATTGTGTCTCTGCCCGGCTTTGGTATCAGGATGATGCTGGTCTCATAAAATGAGTTAGGGAGGATTCCCTCTTTTTCTGTTGATTGGCATAGTTTCAGAAGAAATGGTACCAGTTCCTCCTTGTACCTCTGGTAGAATTTGGCTGTGAATCCATCTGGTCCTGGACTCTTTTTGGTTGGTAAGCTATTGATTATTGCCACAATTTCAGCTCCTGTTATTGGTCTATTCAGAGATTCAACTTCTTCCTGGTTTAGTCTTGGGAGAGTGTATGTGTCGAGGAATTTATCCATTTCTTCTAGATTTTCTAGTTTATTTGCATAGAGGTGTTTGTAGTATTCTCTGATGGTAGTTTGTATTTCTGTGGGATTGGTCGTGATATCCCCTTTATCATTTTTTATCGCGTCTATTTGATTCTTCTTTTTTTCTTTATTAGTCTTGCTAGTGGTCTATCAATTTTGTTGATCCTTTCAAAAAACCAGCTCCTGGATTCATTGATTTTTTGAAGGGTTTTTTGTGTTTCTGTTTCCTTCAGTTCTGCTCTGATTTTAGTTATTTCTTGCCTTCTGCTAGCTTTTGAATGTGTTTGCTCTTGCTTCTCTAGTTCTTTTAATTGTGATGTTAGGGTGTCAATTTTGGATCTTTCCTACTTTCTCTTGTGGGCATGTAGTGCTATAAATTTCCCTCTGCACTCTGCTTTGAATGTGTCCCAGAGATTCTGGTATGTTGTGTCTTTGTTCTCGTTGGTTCCTAAGAACATCTTTATTTCTGCCTTCATTTCGTTATGTACCCAGTAGTCATTCAGGAGCAGGTTGTTCAGTTTCCATGTAGTTGAGCGGTTTTGAGTGAGATTCTTAATCCTGAGTTCTAGTTTGATTGCACTGTGGTCTGAGAGATAGTTTGTTATAATTTCTGTTCTTTTACATTTGCTGAGGAGAGCTTTACTTCCAAGTATGTGGTAAATTTTGGAATAGGTGTGGTGTGGTGCTGAAAAAAATGTATATTCTGTTGATTTGGGGTGGAGAGTACTGTAGATGTCTATTAGGTCTGCTTGGTGCAGAGCTGAGTTCAATTCCTGGGTATCCTTGTTGACTTTCTGTCTTGTTGATCTGTCTAATGTTGACAGTGGGGTGTTAAAGTCTCCCATTATTAATGTGTGGGAGTCTAAGTCTCTTTGTAGGTCACTCAGGACTTGCTTTATGAATCTGGGTGCTCCTGTATTGGGTACATATATATTTAGGATAGTTAGCTCTTCTTGTTGAATTGATCCCTTTACCATTATGTAATGGCCTTGTTTGTCTCTTTTGATCTTTGTTGGTTTAAAGTGTGTTTTATCAGAGACTAGGATTGCAACCCCTGCCTTTTTTTGTTTTCCATTTGCTTGGTAGATCTTCCTCCATCCCTTTATTTTGAGCCTATGTGTGTCTCTGCATGTGAGACGGGTTTCCTGAATACAGCACACTGATGGGTCTTGGCTCTATCCAATTTGCCAGTCTGTGTCTTTTAATTGGAGCATTTAGTCCATTTACATTTATAGTTAATATTGTTATGTGTGAAGTTTTTCCTGTCTTTATGATGTTACCTGGTTATTTTGCTCATTAGTTGATGCAGTTTCTTCCACGTCTCGATGATTGTTACATTTTGGCATGATTTTGCAGTGGCTGGTACTGGTTGTTCCTTTCCATGTTTAGTGCTTCCTTCAGGAGCTCTTTTAGGGCAGGCCTGGTGGTGACAAAATCTCTGAGCATTTGCTTCTCTGTAAAGTATTTTATTTCTCCTTCACTTATGAAGCTTAGTTTGGCTGGATATGAAATTCTGGGTTGAAAATTCTTTTCTTTAAGAATGTTGAATATTGGCCCCCACTCTCTTCTGGCTTGTAGAGTTTCTGCGGAGAGATCAGCTGTAAGTCTGATGGGCTTCCCTTTGAGGGTAACCCGACCTTTCTCTCTGGCTGCCCTTAACATTTTTTCCTTCATTTCAACTTTGGTGAATCTGACAATTATGTGTCTTCGAGTTGCTCTTCTTGAGGATTATCTTTGTGGCATTCTCTGTATTTCTTGAATCTGAATGTTGGCCTGCCTTGCTAGATTGGGGAAGTTCTCCTGGATAATATCCTGCAGAGTGTTTTCCAACTTGGTTCCATTCTCCATGTCACTTTCAGGTACACCAATGAGACGTAGATTTGGTCTTTTCACATAGTCCCATATTTCTTGGAGGCTTTGCTCATTTCTTTTTATTCTTTTATCTCTAAACTTCCCTTCTTGCTTCATTTCATTCATTTCATCTTCCATTACTGATACCCTTTCTTCCAGTTGATCGCATTGTCTGCTGAGGCTTCTGCATTCTTCACGTAGTTGTCGAGCCTTGGTTTTCAGCTCCATCAGCTCCTTTAAGCACTTCTCTGTATTGGTTATTCTAGTTATATATTCTTCTAAATTTTTTTCAAAGTTTTCAACTTCTTTGCCTTTGGTTTGAATGTCCTCCTGTAGCTCGGAGTAATTCTATCATCTGAAGCCTTCTTCTCTCAGCTCATCAAAGTCATTCTCCGTCCAGCTTTGTTCCGTTGCTGGTGAGGAGCTGCGTTCCTTTGGAGGAGGAGAGGCACTCTGCTTTTTAGAGTTTCCAGTTTTTCTGCTCTGTTTTTCCCCCATCTTTGTGGTTTTATCTACTTTTGGTCTTTGATGATGGTGATGTACAGATGGGTTTTTGGTGTGGATGTCCTTCCTGTTTGTTAGTTTTCCTTCTAACAGACAGGACCCTCAGCTGCAGGTCTGTTGGAGTACCTGGGCATGTGAGGTGTCAGTCTGCCCCTGCTAGGGGGTACCTCCCAGTTAGGCTGCTCGGGGGTCAGGGGTCAGGGACCCACTTGAGGAGGCAGTCTGCCCTTTCTCAGATCTACAGCTGCGTGCTGGGAGAACCACTGGTCTCTTCAAAGCTGTCAGACAGGGACACTTAAGTCTGCAGAGGTTACTGCTGTCTTTTTGTTTGTCTGTGCCCTGCCCCCAGAGATGGATCCTACAGAGGCAGGCAGGCCTCCTTGAGCTGTGGTGCGCTCCACCCAGTTCGAGCTTCCTGGCTGCTTTGTTTACCTAAGCAAGCCTGGGCAATGGCGGGCGCCCCTCCCCCAGCCTAGCTGCCGGCTTGCAGTTTGATCCCAGACTGCTGTGCTAGCAATCAGCCTCCGTGGGCTTAGGACCCTCCGAGCCAGGTGCGGGACACAATCTCCTGGTGCGCCGTTTTTTAAGCCCGTCGGAAAAGCGCAGTATTCGGGTGGGAGTGACCAAATCTTCCAGGTGCCGTCTGTCACCCCTTTCTTTGACTAGGAATGGGAACTCCCTGACCCCCTGCGCTTCCTGAGTGAGGCAATGCCTCGCCCTGCTTCAGCTCATGCACGCACGGTGCACGCACCCACTGACCTGCGCCCACTGTCTAGTGAGATGAACCCGATACCTCAGATGGAAATGTAGAAATCACCCATCTTCTGTGTCGCTCATGCTGGGAGCTGTAGACCGGAGCTGTGCCTATTCGGCCATCTTGGCTCCTCTGATGTTACTTTAGTTTTATAATTCATTTTGAAATCAGAAAATGTTATGCCTCTAGCTTTGTTCTTTTCTCAAGACCATTTTGGCAATTTGGGTCTTTTGTGGTTTCATATTAATTTTTGAATTGTTTTTTTCTGTTTCTGAAAAAAACTGCCAATGAGATTTCAATAGGGATTGCACTGAATCTGTAAATCATTTTGGGTAATACGGATATTTTAACAATGTTGAATTTTGCAGTCAATAAACACGGGACGTATTTTTGTTTGTGTGTGTTTTAATTTCTTTTATCCATATTTCATTGTCTTTAATGTATAAGTATTTCAGCTCCTTAAGTAAGTTTATTTCTTAGTAGTTTATGTTTTATGTCATTGTAAATGGGGTTGTTTTCTTAATTGTTTATGTATAGAAATATCACTGATTTTTATATGTTGATCTTGTATGATCCAACATTTTTGACTTTGATTTCTAGTTCTATGCTTTTTATATTTTGAGTGTGTATGTTAAATCTTTAGAGTTTTATACAGATAAGATCATGCCACGTGCAAACAGAGTTAATTTTATTGCTTCCTTTCTGATTTGGAGACTTTTTGTTTCTTTGTCATCCCTAATTGCTCTGGCTAGGACTTTCAGTACTATGTCACAAGAGTAGGCATCCTGGTCTTATTCCTGATCCTAGAGGGAAAGCTTTCAACTTTTCACCATTGTGAAAAATATTAACTGCATTTTTTCATATATGATCTGTATCGTGTTGAGGTTATTTTCTTTTTCTTTTTCTTTTTTTTTATACTTCAAGTTTTAGGGTACATGTACACAATGTGCAGGTTAGTTACATATGTATGCATGTGCCGTGCTGGTGCGCTGCACCCACTAACTCGTCATCTAGCATTAGGTGTATCTCCCAATGCTATCCCTCCCCCCACCCCACAACAGTCCCCAGAGTGTGATGTTCCCCTTCCTGTGTCCATGTGTTCTCATTGTTCAATTCCCACCTATGAGTGAGAATATGTGGTGTTTGGTTTTTTGTTCTTTCGATAGTTTACTGAGAATGATGATTTCCAATTTCATCCATGTCCCTACAAAGGACATGAACTCATCATTTTTTATGGCTGCATAGTATTCCATGGCGTATATATGCCACATTTTCTTAATCCAGCCATCCCATTACTGGGTATATACCCAAAGGACTATAAATCATGCTGCTATAAAGAGGTTATTTTCTTATCTTCTTGTTTTGTTGAGAGTTTTTATCATGAAAAAGTGTTGAAATTTGTGTCTTTCACGCCCACAGACGGAGATGGGTGTTGTGAGTGGTGGTGGGCTACACAGACTGTGTGGTGTGAGCTTTTTGCTGGGAGGAGCTAGGTGAGGGTCCTGAACATCTGACTGGGCAGCTGGTGTCCCTCAAGAAGTGGTTGCTGGAGGGTCAGGTGGACAGCCTCTCAGTGACTCTGGGGCCGCTGGGTGTTCCTGAACTGATGGTGTCTTAGCCAGGCTGTGCTTATGCAATTCTAACGTGTATGTGGAAAAAGGACACAGGGTCCCCTCCTGCCTCTGAAGGGGTCATGGATGGCAGTAGGGAGACCCTAGCTGCCCGAGATGTGGTACTGCACCAGACATCTGGCCATATCCACAACAAGAATATCTCCACTCACCTAACTGGCAACAACAAACAAGGCCATGGCACTGAGAGTAGTGGCTCTGGCATCTTTGCCGTGAGCACACTGGATGGGATGCTGAAGCTCATGGAGGAAGCAGACAAGCTGTTGTGGTCAGCGCAGGTGGATCACCAGCTCTTCGCCCTGGAGAAATTGGGATGTCAACGGCAATGGGCATGAGGAGGTAGTTCCATGTGCCTGCGATGGACAGACATATATTATTGATCACAATCACACCGTCGTCCGCTTCTAAGTGGATGAAAATATCCGTGCCTTCTATGCAGGCCTGTATGCCTGCCCAGGGATGCAACAGCTCCTGCCTCGTATATGTCACTTTCAACCAGAAGATCTATGTGTACTGGGAGGTGCAGTTGGAGTGGATGGAGTCTACCAATCTGCTGAATGACTGGAGACCAAGCCTGAGTACCATAGCCTGCTGCAGGAGCTGGGCATGGATCCTGACAACCTCCCTGTGGCTCATGCCCTGCTTCACCAAACACTCTACCATCCGACCAACCACCACAGTGTGTTCCCTCAAGCCTCCAGGATCCCACCTAGCTGTACTTGCCTCACAGCTGGTGAAGGATTCTTCTGAACCCCTACCCTACCTCCTCAAGCTATCTTTGATATTGGCAGGATGGGGAATACACATTACAGAAGTGCAGGATTTGACTCTGGGCATGAAAGATGGCAGCAGCCCTAGGGTGACCACAAGCTATACACCTCATGGTCTTTTTGGTGAAAGAAGGGACAAGTTGACCCTTTGCCCATTTTCTTATGGACCTCACCCATCACACCAGCAAGGTCATAGGACCCTGGCCTTGTTCCAGATCATCTGGGACATGTCCCACTCCCCACTTTCACTGTGTAGAAAACAGAGACTTGTTTGCGTGGCCCCAATACCCATAAGGAAACCAGGCTTTAGGCCCAGGGGAGCAGTGGAGGTAAGGGCTCCACCCCATCTTAAGCTCTGTCTTTTATGGCACAATTCCAAGTTCTTAATATTAGTAATTGTTAAAGGAATGGCAAATTGTTTTGTTTTGAGGGGTCTTTCAGTGCAATCTACAATCTGGTCTTACCCATGTTCCTAACAAGCGTGAGATGATTTTCCTCCATTTACCAAAGCACCTGGGTCAGTGCTTTCTCATGTTGCCATATTCTTCAGGTATTAGCTTCAGAAGCCCTGTTCCCATTTTTCCACCCACCCATTCCCCCATAAAATACCTTGTTGTCTGTAAGACAATATACATTTAAAATGTGATGCAGACTTATGATCCAGACCACAATCAGAATTATATCTTGGGCCATTAAAAAAAAAAAAGAAATTTGTCAAATGTTTTTTCTGCATTTGTTGAAATGATCATGTGTTTTTGCCCTTCATTTGGTTAATGTGGTATATCACATTTATTGATATGCATATGGTAAACTATCCTTGCATCCAAGAAATAAATGTTACTTGGTCATGGGGTATACCTTTAATATGTTGTTGAATTTGGTTTGCTAGTATTTTGTGGAGGATTTTTTTTCATCTATGTTAACCAGACATATTAACCTGTGGTTTTCTTTTTTAAATATCATTTTTTTTTGCCTGGCTTTAGTATCAGGGTAGTGCTGATCTCATAAAATAAGTTTGAAAGTGTTTTGTGTTCTTTGATTTTTAGGAAGAATTGAGAAGGATTAATGTTAAGTTTTTAGAAGTTTGATAGAATTCAACACTTGAAGTCATCTGGTCCTGGGCTTTGTTTTTATTAGAAAGATTTTGGCTACTAATTCAATTTACTTACTATTTATAGATCTGTTCAGATTTTCTATTTATGTATTATTCAGTCTTGATAGGTTATATGTTTATCATAATTTATGCATTTCTTCTAGGTTATCCAATTTGTTGGCATATAATTGTTCATAATAGTCACTTATGGTCATTTTTATTTCTGAGACATCTGTTATAGTATCTCCACTTTCATTTATGATTTTATTTGTTGGAATCCCTCTCTTAATCTAACTAAAGATTTGTCAATTTTGCTTATCTTTTAAAAAATCAAATCTTATTTTGTTGCTATTTTCTATTTTTCTATTCTCTGTTTTATTTATTTCTGCTTTAATCTTTATTATTTCTCTCCTCCTACCTTTGGGCTTATTTTGTTTTTCTAGTTCTTTGAGGTATAAAGTTAGGTAATTTATTTGAAATCTTTCTTCTTTTTAATATAGATGTTTATTGCTATAAATGTCCTCTTAGTACTGCTTTTGCTGCATCCTATACGTTTTGGTATGTTGTGTTATTGTTTTAATTTGTCTCAATATATTTTAAATTTGATTTTTTATTTATTCTTTGAACCATTGGTTATTCAAGAGTATGTTTTAACTTTCCACATATTCATAGATTTTCCAGTTTCCCTTCTGCTATTAATTTCTAGTCTCACTCTATCATGATCAGTAAAGAAACTCAGCATGATTTGACTCTTCGTAAGTCTGTTAAGATTGGTTTTGTTACCTAACATGATCTATCCTGGAGAAAATTGCATGTACACTTGGCAAGAATGTTCAATTGCTGTTGCATGGAATGTTCTGTATATGTCTATTAGGCCCATTTAGTCTAACATGTTGTTCAAGTCCACCTGTGTCCTTATTGATTGTCTAACTCTTCTACCCATTATTGAAAGTGGAGTACTGAAGTCTCCTATTATTATTGTGTTTCTGTGTTTTCCCTTTTATTTCTGTTCATGTTTGCTTTACATATTTAGGTGCTCTGATGTTTAGTGCATATATATATATATATATGCACACACATAATTGTGATATCTTCCCGGTGAGTTGACCCTTTTATCATTCTATGTTTTCCTCTATCTTGAGACAGTTTTTGACTTAAAGTCTATTTTGTTTGATATAAGTATAGCCACCATGCTTTCTTTTGGTCATTATTTGCATAGGATGTGTATGTGTATATATATATATATGTATATATACGTATATACATATACACACACATGTGCACGCACACACACATATTTTTATCTTTTCAATTTTAGCCTATGTGTCTCCTAAAATCTCAGGTGAATCTGTTGAGCACAGCATATAGTTGAATCTTTTTGTCTACCCAGTCAGTTACTCTGTGTCTTTTGATTGAAGAGGTCATTCCATTAACATTTCAAGTGAGTGTTAGAGAACAACTTACTGTTGCCATTCTGTTAATAGTTTTCTGTTTTGTGATTCTTTTGTACCTTTTCTTCTCTTGCTGTCTTCCTTTATGTTACATTGAGTTTTTGGTATTGATATGCTTTGATTTCTTTCTCGTTTATGTAGATGTTTTCTTCGTGGTTACCACCAGGCTTACATAAAACAACTTATTGTTATAACAATCTATTTTAAACTGTAAACAACTCAACTTCAATCACATATAAAACTCTCTACTTTAACTTCTCTCCTTCATACATATACTTTGTTATTATTGTCACAAGTTACCTGTATTCATATTGTTTCTTTTAACATATTTTTATTTATTGTGATTTTTAATACTTTTGTCTTTTAACTTTTATACTAGAATTAAAAGTGATTTACCCACCATCATTATGATATTACAGTATTCTGTATTTTTCTTTATATCTGCTTCTTTCAGTAAGTTTTATACTTTTACATACTTTCATATATCCATTTGACATCCTTTCATGTTAACTGGAAGAACTCCCTTTAGCATTTCTTTTAAGGTGGATCTAGTGATGATGAACTTCCTCAGCTTTTACTTGTCTGGGAAAATCTTTATTTCTGCTTCACTTTTGAAAGACGGTTTTTCCAGCTATAATATTCTTGGTTGTCAGGTTATTTTTTTTCCTTTATTTCAGCATTTAAGTCCCACATTTTTCTGGCCAGCAATGTTTTGCTGAGAAATCCATGGGAGGTTTATGGTGCTGCCCTAGTATGTGACAAGTTGTTTTACTTTTGCTACTTTCAAAACTTTGTCTTGATTGTTGCCAATTTTAATGTTTTGGTATCCATATGCCAATTTTAATATGTCTTGGTGTGGATTTTTTTTGAATTTTTCTTATTTGTTTCTTGAATTTGGATGTGTTCCTTGTGCATAAGAATTACTTGGGAAATGAATTTCATCAATAAGTGCTATTGGTAAATGTTTGCTATGTGATAACTTTTCATTAATTATGGTAGACAAAACATAAACTTTTTTTTCCTTTTGAAGCACATTGAAATTACTATAAAGAAAAAGTGATGAGAATTATATTAGGGGACATCAGTGGGTCAAAGAGTTTGGCACATTTCAGGAAGATAAAAAGTAGATGGTTTGGTAGTGGTGAATAAACTAAAGCACAGGGAGCTGTACCCCAGAGCTCACAGAAGGAATGACTGAAACAGAAGTGAGAATGTTTTTCCTTCCAGAGAAACACCAGCACAAAACAGCAAATAATGAGAGCAGGATAACAGATGTGGGAGGAGAAATAGGAAATGAGGGAATTGATTAAAGAACCGTCCATGTGTTACCCCCTAAACCCCAAACACTGGGACAAATTGTTCCCAGATTTAAATCAGGTAAATAATCTCTAATAAAGTTTAGTAATCACCCAGGAAAATTTAAAACTCAAAACATACAGTTATAAGGATATTATTTAGATTAATGGAGGTAATAAAAACCAAAAAGGGAAAACATTTTTAAAAATCCACCTGTAAGAAAGGGACCAGGAGCAAAGCATGGGGAGAGAGAAATTAACTTTAATTATTTATTTCAATTTTACTTTAAATTTAATGGCTTCTATGATGTTTAAAATTTTAATTCCATGTACATTCATTACTTTACAATGAATAATTAAATAATTATTACTAAATGTTTGTTTTTGGTTATAGTTAATTTTTTCACTCATTTATTCATTTAATCAATATATCTTCCATTCTTATTATGGGTCAAACATTGTTATCGAATTTAAGAATAGTGGTCATTGCCTCATAGATTTTATATTCTACTGAGGGATGCTGAGGATTAACAAGGAAACTACATAAATGAACAAAATACTTCCAGATAGTGATAAAGCTTTAAAGAAAATAAAATAGGATAATGAGATTTGATGTATTTGAGGTTAAGGGTATACATTATGTGAGGGGTCAGTAATGCAACTCTATGGAAGAGATCCTTGAGCGAGGGCATGCTTGTTGGGTGGAGAGAACTAGGATCTAAAGTCCTTCTTGGGCCCAAGGAACAAGTGCCAGTACAGTAAATAATGGGAGAGAGTATGGGATCCAGATGAAGAAGGGTCTTATAAACCATGGCAGTGTGGATTTTATTACAGTTGTGAAAGAGAATGACTGAAATGTTCTCTGGGTTTATCCATATTGTTGCAAATGACAGGATTTCCTTTTCCTTTTAGGATGAGTAGTATTTCTGTGTGTATGTGTGTATCACATTTTCTTTATCCATCCATTTGTTGATAGAAACTTAGGTTGATTCCATATCTTGGCTATTGTGAATAATGCTGCAATGCACACGAGAGTACAGTTATTTCTTCAATATACTGATTTCATTTCCTTAGATATGTACCCAGGAGTGAGATTTCTGGGTCATATGGTAATTCTATTTTTAATTATTGAGCTCAATCCAGACATTCCACAATGTATACATATTACAAAACATCATGTTGTGCACAATAAGATATAAAAATTTTATTTATCAATTGGCAAAAAAAATATAGAAAGGGCACATTCTGAAAACTATGGACCTTACTTCAATTGGTATACATTTAACTTAATAAAAATGTCCCTATGTCTTTGTTGTTCTTATTTTACTACAGTCCAGTGGGTTTCATTGGATTTCAGACTAAGATTCAGGAGTTGTACACCCAATAATGTAATAAAAACTATACTTTTTTTTTCATTTTGGTTTTCATGGTTACTGTGGACAACAATTCTTTTTCATGGTGCTCAGGACAGAACAGTTTGCTATAAATGTGCTGTGGTTTATTTTGTCTCTTCAAGCGGATGACTAAGATTATAAACTGAAATATACATATTGGAGTACAATTTCTAAGAATAGACCTGTGACAAACATAACCTTATTAACTCACATTTCTCACTACTCTTGTTCCCACAGAGACACCAGTGGAATTCTGCATTTATGTTCTTGCTAAAGTTTTGCATTAGAGATTGCTAAAGTATCTTCTCCTTCTCTACCTCCCTTTCCTTTCATTTTTCCTTTCCATTTATCAGCCTCCTCTTACCAATATTCTCAGTCTTCTACTTTCTTTCCTTTTTCCTCTATTTCTTTTCTCCATTTTTCCTGCTGATTTATTTCCTGTCTTAACTCTTTTTTTCCCTCTTCTTCCACTTCCACCTCATTGCCTTGCCTCCCCTCCCATCCTATTTTTCTTAAGTCTTAAAGGTATCTCCTTTATTTTTAGGGACTACAAATAGTCTTACACTAGCTCTTCTTCTTGTTTTCTATTTTCTATTTGGCCCCCTTTCCCTTATGTCTCTGTGGGTTAAGGGAGGTGGTAATAATGGGACATGGTAGGTGGTAAAAATGTAGTGATCGGCAACAGAGAGGTTAAGATAGGCATTTCAAACTCAAACCATCCCAGTGATATGGTTTGGCTGTGTCCCACCCAAATCTCATCTTGAATTATCAGATGTTATGGGGGGGCAGGAATCCAGTGGGAGGTAATTGAATCATGGGGGTGGGTTTTTCCCATGCTGTTCTCGTGATAGTGAATAAGTCTCACAAGATCTGGTGGTTTTAAAAACAGGAGTTTCCCAGCACAAGCTCTCTCTTTTTGTATGCTGCCATCCATGTTAGACATGACTTGCTCCTTTTTGCCTTCTGCCGTGATTGTGAGACCTCACCAGACATGTGGAACTGTAAGTCCATTAAACCTCTTTCTTACGTAAATTGCCCAGTCTTGAGTATGTCTTTATCAGCAGCACAAAAATGGACTAATACAGTAAATTGGTACCAGGAGTGGAGTGCTGCTGAAAAGATACCCCAAAATTATGGAAGCGACTTTGGATCTGGGTAACAGGCAGAAGTTGGAACAGTTTGGAGGGCTCAGAAGAAGACAAAAAATGTGGCAAAGTTTGAAACTTCCTAAAGACTTCTTGAATGGCTTTTCCCAAAATGCTGATAGCGATATGGACAATAAGGTCCAGGCTTAAGGGGTCTCAGATAAAAATGAGGAACTTGGTGGAAACTGGAGCAACAGTGACTCTTGTTATGTTTTAGCAAAGAGACTGGTGGCATTGTGCCCCCAACCTAGAGATTTGTGAAACTTTGAGCTTGAAAGGGATGATTTAGAATATCTTGCTGGAAGAAATTTCTAAGCAGCAAAACATTCAAGAGATGATTTGGGTGCTGTTAAAGGCATTCAGTTTTATAAGGGAAGCAGAGTATAAAAGTTCAGAAAATTTGCAGCCTGACAATGTGATAGAAAAGAAAATCCCATTTTCTGAGGAGAAATTCAAGCTGGCTGCAGAAATCCACGTAATGAGAAGCTGAATATTAATCCTCAAGACAATGGGGAAAATGTCTCCAAGGCATGTCAGAGGTCTTTACAGCAGCTGCTCCCATCACAGGCATAGAGGCTTAGGAGGAAAAAGTGGTTTCATGGGCCAGGACCGGCATCCCTGGGCTGTGTGCAGTCTAGGGACTTGGTGCTCTGAGTCCCAGCTGCTCTAACCATGGCTAAAAGGGGCCAATGTAGACTCAGGCCATGGCTTCAGAGGGTGCAAGCCCCAAGACTTGGCAGCTTCCATGTGGTGTTGAGCCTGCAAGTGCACAGAAGTCAAGAATTGGGTTTGGGAACCTCCACCTAGATTTCAGAAGATGTATGGAAATGCCTGGATGCCCAGGAAGAAGTTTGCTGCAGGGGTGGGGCCCTCATGGAGAACCTCTGCGAGGGCAATGCAGACGGGAAATGTGGGGTTGGAGCCCACACACAGAATCCCTAGTGGGGCACTGCCTTGTGGAGCTGTGAGAAGAGGGCCACCGTTTTCCAGACCCCAGAATGGTAGATCGACTGGCAGCTTGCACCATGTGCATGGAAAAGCTGCAGACGCTCAAGACCAGCCTGTGAAAGCAGCTGGGAGGGAGGCTATATCCTGCAAATCCAAAGGAGCAGAGCTTCCCAAGACCAGGGGAACCCACCTCTTGCATCAGCGTGACCTGGATGTGAGACATGGAGTCAAAGGAGATCATATTGGTGCTCTAAGATTTGACTGCCTTGCTGGATTTCTGACTTCCATGGGACCTGTATCCCCTTGTTTTGGGTCAATGTATCCCATTTAGAACAGCTGTATTTACCCAATGCCTGTACCCCCATTGTAACTAGGAAGTAATTAACTTGCTTTTGATTTTACAGGCTCATAGGCAGAAAGAACTAGTCTTGTCTCAGGTGAAACTTTGGACTGTGGATTTTTGAGTTAATGCTGAAATGAGCTAAGACTTTGGGGGACTATTAGGAAGGCATGACTGATTTTGAAATATGAGGACGTGAGATATGGGAGGGGCCGGGGTGGAATGATATGGTTTGGCTGTGTTCCCACCCAAATCTCATATTGAATTCCCATGTGTTGTGGGAGGGACCTAGTTGGAGGTAATTGAATCATGGGGCAGGTCTTTCCCGTGCTGTTCTCGTGATAGTGAATACATCTCACAAGACCTGATGGTTTTAAAAACAGGAGTTTCCGTGCACAAACTCTTTCACTTTTGGCATGCTGCCATTCATGTGAGACATGACTTGCTCCTCTTTGCCTTCTTCCATGATTGTGAGGTCTCCCCAGCCATGTGGAAATGTAAGTCCATTAAACCATTTTTTTCTTTTCTTTTTTTTTTGTAAATTGCCCAGTCTTGAGTACGTCTTTATCAGCAACATAAAAATGGACTAATACACCAAGTATCCTTTTAAACCTTGATCTAAAAAGTCAAGGATCTTTGGTAATTGAATCTTCCTATACACTAAAAAACTTCAGTGGTATGATTTGTTAGGCTTTGTTTTATAATTTGTAAATAAAACTTACTAAAATAGAAACTTTTTATTGTTTGCTTTTAAATTCTTGGTGTTGTTTCTAATAATACCAACAACTATTTCAAGCCCATATTTGTTACCAAAATATTTATTATTGTTAAGGATGTGATAGATATTTAGAGCTCTTTTAGTTAAGGAGAATAATAGAATTAGATTTATAAAATCTAATATTAGCTGTTGAATATGTTGCAATCTCAAAGCAAATTGACCAGAACTGTGCTTTATGTCAGAGATTCAAGCAAGTATAATCAAGTGATGAAGAACTTAAATAAGAGATATATCATTATGTTTCAGGCCATACTAATCAAGAGGTAGGGGTGGCAATAATTTCAGTTGTGTTATTTGCTCATTTTTATTATCCGCCATAGAAATTGCTGACACTCTAGCCTCCCTTTCAAAATTCTTCACATATTTCAGAAAGTACCCCGGGGAGATCTCAAATATTCCCAGGAAAAAAACACTTGACTGTCATGACCATCCAATATTTTTCTCTGCTCTACCTCTGGATACCTTCTTGATGTTGACTGCTGCCTCAAAATTCTGAAGCCTGTAATGGTAACTGTAGATGTTAGTGCTCAGCTCACTGTCTTTCACTGATCCCTAAAATAAGTGTTCCCTCAAGAGACAGTTTAAAAGTGTTTCTTTTTGATCTAGCATATACCCACAGATCTGGCTGCACTGTCAGAACTAATGGCAAAGGTAACAGATAGAAGAGGGAGATATACAGGGAGTATAACGATTTCATCCATTTAGCTAATGCTTCTTGATGGATATTGTCAGTAGGCATTGAATAACACAAACTAGAACACTTTTTTTATAGGTTGATAAAAAAAGAACCCCTGGACTTGATACTAAAGCAGTCGAAAATTTAGATGTCAGGTAGATCAGATGTACCAATAAAGGAGCTTGCTTGGGGTTGCTACTGATGGTGGGAAAATACAAATGGTGTACTGCCACAGAATGTGATGGAGGGATTGGTCAACTAAGTGAATTGCTATTGAATAAATTAAAAAATATCATCTTTTGGATTGGTAACAGGAAGATTGTTGATAATTTGATGAGAAGTCTCAAAGAGCATTGGGGATGGAGCCCAATTGCAATGGCTTAAGAGTGAAAGTTAGGTAGAAAAGTAGACAGAGAGTATAGAAAATTTTCTAATGTTTTCCCATGAAGAGAATTGAGAAATAAGTAGGTAACTCCAAAAGATATGAAGTCAAGTTAGTGTGTGAGTGTAGTTGTGTGCTTCTTAAGACAAAAGGGCATGTGTGCAAACTGATGATAAGGATCCAGTAGAGAGAGTGTAATTAAACATTCATTAAAAAGTGGCCAGCTTTTCAGAGAGAAGTCTGAGGAGGGACCCCTAGGGGGAGTTATGTGGTTTTAATGACAGGAAGGACTCGTCTTCCATTGAAACTGGGGGAAGGTCAGAGAGGATAGGCACAGATTCAGACTGGTTTATAGATTGGTGTTGGTAACATGACAAAGCTGTTGTCTAATAGCTTTCTTTTTCTTTCAGTGAATTATGAGATTAGCTTCGGATCCTACTCCACAAAATCCAAAGGAGAATTCTCACCATTGGGTTATCTGTAAATTTGATGAGCACATATCCAATTCTATTCATTCAGAAACTGATTTTAAGGGCCTACTATGTGCCAAGAACTGTGTCAAGCTCTTCAGATTAAAACTGAATATGACATATTCTTCTCTTTCTGATTGTAAAGTTCCATGGCATAAAAAGTCGTTCTGGTGTATAGAGTTACCATTTAAACAGATTAACTTCCTTCTGAGTACTGGACCTGAAAATAAAGTATATTGTGAGCAGGAAAATGATGAAGTCCTACTCAAGCTCCTTTTAATCACAAATAATCAACAAAGCAAGCTGGTTTAAACTAAAAAAGTAGAAATTATTAGACAGATATCTGGGGAACTGACAGAAGAGAATACTCCAGTGCAATGAAAAAGTGGAAAGCTGTCATCCAACTATGCCTTGTTCCCCTCTATCTCTTGTTTCTGCTTCTATCTTCTTTTTCTCTCACACTCTGTGTGTCTGTGTGTCCCCATTGTTTATCTCCCACTTACAAGTGAGAATATGTGATATTTGACTTACTGTTTCTGAGTCATTTCACTAAGGATAATGGCCTTCAGGTCCATCCATGTTGCTGCAAAAGATATGATTTTATTCTTTTTTATGGCTGAATAGTATTCCATGATATACATACCACATTTTAAAATCCAGTCATTCATCAATGGACACATGGTTGATTCCATGACTTTGTTATTTTGAATAGTGCTGTGACAAACATGCAAATGCATGTGTCTTTTTGACAAAATGATTTATTTTTCTTTGGATAGATACCCAGTAGTGGGATTGCTGGATCAGGATAGTTCTATTTTTAGTTCTTTGAGAAATCTGCATACTGTTTTTTATAAAGGTTGTACAAATTTACATTCCTACCAACAGTATATGAGTTCCCTTTTCTCTACATCTATGCCAATATCTATTGTTTTTTGAGTTGTTAATAGTAGCCATTTTGACTGGTGTAAGATAGTATTTCATTGCCATTTTAATTTGAATTTCTCTGACTAGTGATGTTGAGCATTTTTTCATATGTTTGCTGGCCGCTTGTACATCTTCTTTTGAAAAATGTTCATGTCTTTTGCCAGCTTTTTAATGGGGTTATTTTTGTTTTTGTCTTGTTGACTTGAATTCCTTATAGGCTCTGGATATTCCCTCTTTCATTTTAAATATTGATTGATACTGGCAAATGTCTGCAGTCAAAAGAAGGAAATCTGTTGGAATTATTTACTATTATAGCACTAATAACCATGTAATAACCATGCATTAAATGTTTGCTAAAAAAGGTTTTGACTACCACATTCTGTGTGACTAACAGCATTTCATGGCAAGGGAAGGTAACATTTGAGACCCAAATAACTGACTTTTATTTCCAGGAGCAGGAAGGAGTTAATAATCATTCTTTGTAATTTGTGAGCATTATTTTATGACATTGATAATGGGCAGTGGTGTAGATTATCATTTTTCTTGGAGGAAAAGTAAGTTTAGGCCTTCCTTAAAAACAGTATGTATTCACTGCATAAACTAGAACAACACATTGGGTTATGAATAATTTATAAATAATAAAATGAAATCTAATATATTGAGTAAAAGAATTCTTCAGTCAACAGGGAAAACCAGTTGTATTGCATAATAAATAAAAGTTTCTGTCGTGGTAGTATGTTTCATTAAAGGCAAGGAGTCACCAATTCCAATGCCTATGGAAGTTTGATAAGTACATATATTGGTGGATTGAATCTGGAATAGATAACAAGAAGTGATGGTGACTGAGGCAGTAGAGAAACATGCCTTGCTTAAGTTATTCAAATTCAAGCAACAACCATACAAAATAAACTGTACTGTGTCTGGGCAAACAAGAAACAAACAAAAACCACCAACAAAACTTTTTCTGACCAGATTTTGCAACTGGCCACCTATCTACAGCTTTTTTTTTTTTTTTTTTTTTTTTTTTCCAAAGCCAGCAGGCATGCTGCTAATATCTAATAGAATTGACCTCTGGTATCCCTTTGTTCTTTGCAAGTTGCACCTCGGCCTACTTGATATTTCATTTTCTTAACTCATTGGCTTCCAACACTCTGCTTTGTTCTTCTTTTGTTAGGGAAAATGGTTTAGTGCAATGCATCTCGCATTTCCATAGATGAGAGAAAATGTTCACTTTACTGCCCAGGTGGAGTCAGTATTAGTGAAATGCTTCTGGTCCCTCTACCTACTGTTTTCATTACTGTCTCTTTGTCAAGAGGCACACACAATTTGACAAGAGCCTCATTCTGATTGAGTGGGGTTAGCACCTGGACAATTATGTTCCAGCCTGATGGATTTCTCTCTTCACTCTTAGGTTCAGACAGGATAGAATCCTTGTTTCCCTTAGGTCTTTGATGCCTGATATGCTCAAGATGCTCTGTGTTTCACTTCTTCCCATATGTGAACTTCAAGATCTAGGCTTGAAATTATAAAAGGTGGTAAGAGGTCTCTGTGTTCGCTACCAATCCCAAGATATACCCTACAATTCAACTTTGCAAAGGAATAAAATGGGTAACAAATTTTAACTCACATTTGGCTTCTGTTCTATTTATTACTTGGTTCAGATTTGTAGTAGAGGAAAGCTAAGAAATTAGGCACTCAACAACTTATGGGACCTTAAGACATGCCTCAGCAAACCAAGGGGATTTTGTGGCCATCATGGCAAGTTACAATTTTTCCTCACATGCTGAGCCTATGGACCTAGCAAAATATTAAGAAATAGTCAAGAAGGCGTGGATTAAGCCATTCTATTTCCACAAGATAAGGATGATTTCTGTAGGCTATAACTAAGATACAGGACAAGTATATGCAATATTCTTTTGCCTTAACATTCTATGCTTTATCAGGGTCATTTTTTACTGCTTATTTTATATCTCTGTTAGAAAATAATGGAAATAAACATCTTTGTTCCTTAATGAGAAAGGAAATGTTATCATCAGATACAACCTGTCAATCAACTTTTTATGTCAATACATTTTTTACTGCTTATTTTATATCTCTGTTAGAAAATAATGGAAATAAACTTTTTATGTCAATACATTTTTATGTCAATACATTTTTTACTGCTTATTTTATATCTCTGTTAGAAAATAATGGAAATAAACATCTTTGTTCCTTAATGAGAAAGGAAATGTTATCATCAGATACAATCTCTGTCAATCAACTTAGGTATAAATGAGATAAGCAAATCACCTTAAAAGAGGGAGGGAAAAACCAGGTTATATCCATGATTTGTCTGTCTCTCCTAAAGCAGGGGCTCTCTGAAATGTAACTATCAGGGCCAAGTTTTAACAGATAGCAAAATCCCTGGAGAGTCTGTTACTAGGATGATAGGGAATCTTGGTAAGAAAACCCCCATGAATGTGGCCCTGTAAGAGTTGGGTACATTTTAGGAAACTAGTACTTTGTATATATGTAAAGTTTGTAAATGAGTTTATGATGGTCGAAATTTAGTGATGTAGGGAAACCCTAGACAAAATTCAAAAACAAAAACAAACTATAAAATAAGGAGTCAGGGAAGCCAGTAAAGAGAATCTCTGCATTTATATCTACTATTCACATCAGCCAGAATAGGTTTCCTCAGTTACCCGTATAATTTGATTCTTATTCACATGCAGAGAAATTGGCTTCTTTACTGTTACCAAAGATTTAAATTATCTTCTCTGTATAGCTTTTGATTGATACAGGGCTAGTGTAAAGAATGATGAGAAAGACTTTAAGTAGTCAATGTTTTGCTGTTTACATAGCAGTCATCTAGTCTGAATGGAGATAATGTGGCTGAATATGGCTAATGGGTTGTGTAATACTAGCACTTCAAATCGTCAGTAAACCTAGTTTTGAATCAATAAAATTACAAGGGAGATTGAGGCAGCACTGGAAAAATGATACTCTTGGCAACAATAGCAGCTACTGAAGTGCAGAAACCAGAACCAACATCGTGGTAGACTGTTTACTTGAACAGTCCAAATTTCTGAGACTGAGAAAGAACACCAGGAAAAAGAGGTCAAAAATCTTAAGGGAGATGCTCTTTCTTTACCAAACCATTAAGCAGAGATGCTTAAAACTTCATTAAAAAAAATCACTGCTTAAGGTTTTAATCTCATTATAAAATTTTTATTTAAAAATTTAACATGTATTCTCATCTATCTAAATTTTAAGAGAGTTGGCCTAATAATTCCAAAATCCTTTTCCTTCAGAAGTGTTACAAGATTGCAAGTCTTTAGGGAGGTCTTACATTCTAAAACTTAGTATAGACATTTAATAAAAACAATAATATTTGAGAATTTCAGGAATTACAAAGTTAATTTTAACTCCAGGAAACTTGGTTCTGATGAGGACTAATCTGATCATCAAAGGATATGGAGAAAAAGTACTTCAAATACAAGATTGTGCTATACAGAGGACCAAAGAAATTTCTTAGGATAATTCACCCCCTCCTGAGTATATTACTATAATTAATTTTTATGTTTTTAGAGAAGGTGGCCCTCCTGAATGAGTAGAACTCATACAGTGCAGAGCACTGGCAAGTAGCTACACCAGATTTGAAGGTCTGGAGCAACTCACCAAAATGCAAATATGAAGCAGTTTCAGATTCCTGGGGAAGTGGGCACTCTGGTAGGGAAATTGGGGAAATAGGTGGATCGAGAGGTTGAGTGGGTGCTGATCTTTCCCAACAGCATTCTGTTCATCCTCCCATTTGGCCATCAATATTCCTAGGTAAATCATTAACTACGAAATTAAGGAAACTAAAGAAAATTGTGCCAAACATAAGGCTGTGTGTGCTTGATGTGGTTTTTAATCAGGAAAATATCTAAAATCACCTTTAGTTGGTAAGTGAAAATATTCTTTTCAAGAACGATACATTTTAATTCTCAAGAGCAGTTTGCCTTCACTTGGCAGGATTAGAAGTTTATTTTCTGTTATGCTGCTGCAGGGATATTTAAATTCCTCTACACCAAGTCATAATCTGATGAGTATGATTTAAACAGTGTCTTTTAGCCTAACTCAAATATTGAATTAACATCATCACCAATGACATTTGGATCGGGGTGATTCAGAAGGAATGGTGTAGACTTTGACTTCCCATATTTATTTTATGACTAAAAAAAGGATAGACCATTAAATAGAAAACAAATTCAGGTGCTCACCCAGATATAACCTTTCTGGGAAAACTAGAATCTGAGGCAACCAGAGAAAGCTGGCTGCAAACCTTTAGTTGATATTCCCATTTCCTATTTGTTTCTCCTAATCTTATTTCTCCCAGTGATGGCTGCCACTTCTCTAGGCTGGCACTACAGTTCCAAGCATCTGCATGAATAGGTCTAGAAATCAGAGACTATTTACTCAGGTGAAAAGCACAGTTTACAGCGTCTGATAACTCCTTTCTTGCCATTGACTGCTCATGCCAACATGGACAATAGCCACAAACTCTGATCAGTATTAACATCCAGCCATGTCCTTGCAAATATTTGTGGGTAGAGGCCAGGATGTGTGTGTTACACTTATCTAAGGAAAGGATTAAACAATTCTACTTTAGAAATTGAAGACAAATCAATGGATTGTAATATAGGGTAATGATTGGTATAAACTAATTTGAAGTATGGCTGTGGTGAGTTGGTTGGCCCAAGAACAACTTTGGGCAAATGCCTTGCCAAGCATGATCTAGCTCTCCCTACAAAATGTTACCCCAGGCAGAATGTCAAATTTACTGTGGCTTCTCATATAGGAACAAGCAGAGTAAAAACCTTTGCTTAAAAAAAGTAAAGGTGCTCCGTATTTGGTGATGGTGGTGGTGAAGGGTTCTGTATTAGTTAAGGTTAGATTTAGTTGCATACAGCAGAAAATCCTCAGTAATCAATAGTTTTATTTATCTGCAAGTCTGGAGGTAGGGCGCACAGGACTGGTAGAGCAGTGCCATGGCCATCAGGAACCCTGGTTCCTTCTGACTTCCTGCTCTAGGCTTCTTTTGCATATTGCATGGTGGACCAAGATGGTGGCTGGAGCACTAGCCATTATATCCATAGTTTTTTTTAAAGGAGACTTACAAGAAGTCTCACATAACATTTCACTTTCATTTTATTGGCCAGATGTTGGTTACATGACTAAATCTAGCTGCAAGGGAAGATGAGAAATAGAATCTTCTATTAAGTGTTCAACTGAGACCTATATTTTGATTACTAAGGAATCATAGAATGAATATTTAGTGTCAATTAGAAGTATGTATCAGAAGTAATATTTTAAAAATCAGAAACATCCAAGAGTTTGAGCATTTTATTTTTATTATCATACAAACTAAATTTCTCCAAACTTCAGAGATGTTTAACAATGTTTTCTTAACCATGGAACAGTTACGAACTTCAATTTATCAATGTGTCAATTGACCCAGTAAAAACATTTACATGTTGAAGATTTGATTGGCTGGAAGGGAAAGCACTATGAATTTGCAATTTACCAAAAAGGTAATGAAAGCTTAAGCTGCATGAACAGAGGCAGAGTAACTTGAAATAGAGAAGTAACTGGGCCTTCCTAGCTGCCAATCAGACACATCTGAAGTGTTGTGATCAGTGTGGGTTGAGGCTCCTTGTGTTGGGCAGAGAGCATGGATGGGAGGCAGCTCATCTGTGTTCTGGCCCTTCTCATCACCACCATGGGAGGTCAGCTCGTAGATAAAAGTCTGCCTCAGGGGAAGTCTGGCAGCCTCTTCCCATTCTCCATACCTGCTTCTCAGGGAAGCATCCCAAGAATATGGTGAAATAGGATAACTGCTGTAGTCCTCCTCTGAACTACCTGTCCTGGGCCTATTCTCTGTTCTTGCCATCACACTTCCTGCTTGCTATAGGAATTTTGGGATTGTCCTGTTCTATCCATCAGAAACTATTATCAGTATATAGTCTTTATGTAGGACAGAAGGTATGTACCTTCCAAAGACAAAATTTTTCAGATTTGATAAACAAGAATTTTCCGATGGGATGAAAAAGACAATATGTTGTTCTTGGCAAGGGCTCAGGTGAGATAATGGGGCAGGGAAGGTGTGTGGGGCCTGGGGTGCAGTGTCTTGGCAGGTCTGTTTGAGGACAGGAAGTAGGGAAGATATGCCCTGGGGTACACCTTCAGATGCTCCCACAGCCATGCATTGTCTGGATGTAGTTCTGAGGCTTCAGAGCTGCCTCTGCTCTCAGTCCCAATTTGGCACTGGGATAGCAACTCCCCTAACTCTGTGCCTTAGTTAAATTTGGAGAGAATTTCCCCTAAAGCACTGTTAATTGGTTTTATCACCATGGATAAAGGAGTATCATTGGCAGTGGTTCAGGCAGACAGATTTAAGTAGATGACTGTACTAGCCTTTAAAAAATGACTTCACGTCAGCAGAAGATATTTTTACATGTTGTTACTGGTCGGAGAAACTCTTGTGACTTGATTTGAGAAATACTGTCTGAGAAAAACAAGATGATAAAAATTACCATATGAGTGAAAGGCCTACTTCAATTTTTCATTTTTCTGCATGGTATTTATTCCAGATATCTTCTCTTGGGAATACTCATCTGAGCCTCCTATCTTATCAAAACCAATTTGTTCAAAATCTCACTCTGAATAAATGTTTTTCTGCTGAGCCAGTGCATATTAGTAATCATGTTGATAACTAATCATGACTTCATTAAATGTCTGATGACTTATTTTTAATCTTATTGATTTGTGGTTAAAAACTTGGTTTAAAAAGCATGTGTATATAAAGGACCTGAAGGAAGGCATAGCTGTGAGGGATGTCAGGTATGTAGCAGGTCAATAGTAAAGACTTTTAGTGCCACTGGATTCATGTCATGTTTTCAACTGCTGATTTTTCTTACAAACCCTGAAACATTCTGATGAGAAACTTCCTTCTTCCTGCAAATCTCTGTCCACACTGTTCTCTAATTTTCCTTGTTTTCCTTAGTCAGACAACTCCCTTTTACAGAAGACAGAGTGAGAAAAGTGGTGAAAATTGTGTCCTTCACCATCAGCCCTAGGCTGTCCCTGGCCTATCTTTAAATATGCAGTTTCTTTGAGAGAGTTATCTGGGGATAGCAGAAAAAAACTTAAGAGTTGCCAACCTTAGAAGATGAAATCTGACATGTTATTATTTCATGAAGAATATTTTTGTTATTCTTCTTATACATTAGATAATAAAATAAGGACTCATTTCCCCACCAAAAGCATAGTCACTCTGTATTTGCCCCTGCCTTTCCAATGTGGCCTTCCTTAGATCCAGTCTCTGTCTTTGCTCTATGCTCTGAAAGTCTGACCTCGATGGATCATATCACTTGGACTCTCTTACTCCCTGGCTTCTGCTCAGGTTTGAACAATGGGAAATGCAGGTAAGAGGTTAATCTTATGTGTATTTTCCTGCTCACTCTCTGCCCTTCTGCTATTAAAGCTGCATTCCTCTACATTCTTCCACCATGGCAGGTTCTGTCATGTGGGTCCCTTCCTGGCTTCAACTCTCCTTATGCTCCTGTAAGATCATTTCTCCTTTTGATCTCAGGCCTAGGAATGGAAGTTTCTTGCTTTTGAAAGTCCCTGGGTACCTCTGTGTCAGGTAATAAGGTCTCCTCCATCAGTTAACCTCTTGGAGTGAACCATCTTTTTCTTGTTGGGACTCCATTTGAAGCACAGGCTTAAGAAAAGGTCAAATGCATCTCAGATTCTTTCATTCCCTCCTCACCTATTGATTAAGCACCTCTAGTTGTACTTCTTAGACGTTGGAATGATGGACATTTTAGAGAGATATTTGTCAAGGAGCACAACCAGTATAATGGCAAAGTAGTCCTTTACGTTCTACTGGAGCCACACCTGACCTTGAAAGACCCTTTGTCTGAGGTCCCCATCATTTATCGTGCTCCGACAGAGAGCTGTAACTACTGCTACTACTATTCCAGCTGTGTGTCTCACTTGCCAAAAATGTATCCTGTCAATTGAGGTCCGATGGATGTGTCCGTGTGTTTGTATATGTTTGTGGATGTATACGGTTAGATGAGGAGGTAACAGCAAAGATTAAACCAATACCTAAAATTCTTTAACCCATTTCCTTTCTGTTTTGATGAGGAATGTAGACAGAGTAGAAGACACGTATGCTCATTTAGGAAACATTTGGGATTCAAAAGGAGCGTTATAAGTAGAAAAGTACCTAGGCTGTGAATTAGAAGGATCTGAAATGGAAAATTGGTACTAAGAGGCAAGGAATAGAAGGTGCTAGCAGTCTGCTGCAGAGTCAGGGAATAAGAGCAATTAAACAATTGATTAAAAGTTGGGCACACACCTGGATTGAATCCCAGCTCTGCCACTTCCTAATTATATGGTGCTCTGACTAATCATTTAACCTTAACCTGCAGTTCTCTCCTCCCTTCAAGGAGGGCAATTCTACATATATTGTGAAGTTTTTGAGACACAGTATTTGCCATGCAATAATCGCTCAATAGCTGCTATTATTGTGCAGTGTGTTTTCTCACTTATCAACACAATCTCTCACCTCTTTTTTTTCCATCACTACACTTTTGTACTTCTATTTTCCATTAGTGACACTGTTTTGTCTCCTGTTGGTTCTTAAATAATATGAGGTTGGGACGATGTCTGTTAAAGTAGTTTCTGAAGCTCTCAGCAAATTAAAACACTAGTAATGTCTAGCCATTAGCTTTCTGCATTCTGCAAAGCACATGTGTTTCTTAGGCTATACGTATTTATCTTTTGGAAAATCAGTATGCATTTGGTGATGAGGCAAGAAGCCAAGTGCTGGAGACAGGCCTTTAATGGGAGTAAGAATAAAGGTCAGATGCTGAGGATGTTGATCTGGAGATAATCTTCTTCATAAATGGCCTCTGTAAACATGTTTTAGTCAGTGGTCACGGACCTCTTCAGGATTTGATCTTGTGAGGCTATTTCCCAGTCATTAGCTCATCATACTGTGTATTCCCAGTTAGAGAAATCATACAGCAGCCATGTTTATTTACCATGTATCCCAAGTTTTTAAATAAAATTTAAATATCTCTTTTCAATATAGACATCCTGACATCAACCAGTTTTAGCCAAAGAGAAAAAAAGTTTATATCAAGTTAATAACCTAAGAGGAGCTTTTCTATTAAAAGGAGTCTTTTTTTATTTACAAGACTATGATTTGAAACTGTAGGTTGTATTTGGTAAGGTCTGACCATACACAACTAGGGCCAGGACTGTGCCTAAAGATTTGCTTGTGCAGAATGAATTGAGGGACACACTCTTTTCCTCCTGATCAAAATACCTTCTCTCTCTCCAAGGCTGCAGCAATCTATCTTGTGGCCTCAAATAGTTAGAGTTATTCTCTTTAGTGAACACTGACAAGAATTTTTAAAAGCAATTACTATGTGCTTGATGCTGCATTGGGTGGAAATAATGATAACAGTATACAAAACATTCAGCTCATGCCTTGAAAAAAGTTGTATTTATGATTTAAGGCATTTTCTTAGTAGTAGTTTGTATTAATTTGGTTGCAAGTAAATAAACCCAACACAAACCCAAGCTTGGACAAAAAGGGCAGTTTACTGTCTCTGTTTGCTTTCTTCTTAGTTGAAGCCACTCTCAGAAAGATTCCTCCTTGTGTCTAGAACCAGGACCATCAGCTACGTACACATTTGTTGCCAAAAAAATAAGAAGCTTTCTTTAGCTATTTTTTTTTTTTTTTTTTTTAGAAATCACAGGACTTTAAGGGATCTGGCTTGGCTCATGTAGTTACTGGGTGTGAGGGAACACAGGCCTTATTAAAACCGCTGGGTTGGAGTGGAAGAGAAGCAGCTTCCCAAAACAAGATGAGTAATGTTATCATCTGGGAATGGGTAACACAATACATGTCCACCACTCTCTTTTAAATCTCCATAAACTGTTACCTTTTGTAAGGTGTTTGGAGCATAAGAAAATGAGGCCAATGGAGATAATTGTGGAACAATATGAATTAGCCCTTAGCTAATTTACTAACTTGCAATAACATCGAAGGGCAAGTTATCTGAAGATCAAGTTGTCTCCCCCGCTAATTTTCATTAATAATTAAATTCTATATTCATGTGGAAGAGATTTTAAGGTCTGTTTGAACTCTGGGCTCAAAATGCCATATCTGATAACAATAATTCACGGAGTATCTCAGGATGTCTGTCCACCTAAAACCTTTTTTTTTAAATTAAAAAAAAGAACCTGCACCATGATTCATTTCTAATAAGCTATAGTTACGGAAATTGGTTTAAAATAATCTGAATATCATTCTTATCATGAACTGTAAGCTTCTGTAATTTCAGGTAGTAATATGAAAATCCTATTTATTGTGCTTCCTTTTAGCACAATTAACTTTTTGAAACCAACTAGTGTGTTGCTTATGTGCCATTGCTCCATCTACATAGAGACACTGAGAGGGCATAGGAAGAACACTAAATAGGAGTCACAGTAGCTGAGCTCTGTGTTACCTGTTTTTACCTCCTTCTAACTGGTGATACTTCATGAGCTCTTACTTCTCTCACCCTTAAGTTTACTCAACTGTAAGTCAACCTTTTTCTGTAGTCTTTTATTTAGCAAAGTCATGCTTAGGGTCTGAGATGAGAAAAATTATCCTTTCTGGTTCCTTGAGAAGTCTAATATTCTTGTTTTTGTTTTTTACCAAATATCTTGATACTTGTTTTTCCCATCTTCCAACATATCTAAGATAAAAATAGAAATAAGATATCTTCTTACTACTACCAACTAGCTTAGGGCTGGACAAACCCCTGCTGTAGGTAAAAGCCATCACCTGCCACTTCTTGGAAGGACCAGCATGGCAAAAAGCCAGTTTTGGCTTATATAATAGGAGTCGACCTCATCTGAAGTTGATAACAACAATATTAATTCACTACGTAAATTATTTTCCTTTGGGGTTCCCTCAACAGAGAAGTGAGGATGTTGTGGAAAACATACACAGAACGTGGACCAAGAATATCTTCCATTTTACCACACCCATTCTACAATACTTGCAGTGTGAAATGCTGGGGTGCGTGCACAGATACACAAGACATAAGATTTTGCCCATGATCTTGCTGTTTAGTTGAGAAGGCAAGAGATAAATTTGTGAAAATAAATATAATAAGAGTAAATAAGAATACAAATGACATGGTCTGGCTCTGTGTCCCTACCCAAATCTCATCTTGAGTTGTAATCTGAATTGTAATCCGCACATGTTGGGGGAGAGACCTCATGGGAGATGATTAGATCATGGTGGTGGTTCCCCCATGCTGTTCTCATGATGGTGAGTACCCATGAGATCTGATGATTTTATAAGGGACTTTCCCCCTCTTTGCTATGTGCTTCTCTCTCCTGCTGCCATGTGAAGAAAGACGTGTTTGCTTCCCATTCCACCATGCTTGTAAGTTTTCTGAGGCCTCCCCAGCCATGCAGCACTGTGAGTCAATTAAAAGTCTTTCCTTTATAAGTTACCCAGTCTCAGACGTTTCTTCATACCAGTGTGAGAATGAACTAATACAAGAGATACACAAAGCTTGCATATGATTTAGTGGGGCTTGAGTAGTTCAGCTATTTAGTGAATACTTAAAGAGAAATCACCATGAATTAGTCAAATAATCACTCATATTTAGAAGGTATTTTTAACAATGAAAAAAAAAGTTGGTCTTCATCACTTCCAAGTTAGATATAATGATAGTGATAAATAATTATGGGATATGAATAACAAAAGTTGCTATTTATTACATGCATATTAGATGTCAGGCATTTTTCGTATTAACTCCAATTATAGGAATAATTTTACCTCTCATGGGAAGGGTAGGAAGACAAAAACTAAAATGTCAAGGAAGCAACAATTCCTTGTTGCTCTCGGTACAACCATCACGATCATTATGAGTTCACATAATCATTATCATCATCCTCAAGCTGTGATGTTATCACAAAGACATAGACAAGTTAGGGAGATATTTTATTTTATTATATTTTTTATTTTACTTTAAGTTCTGGGATACATGAGCAGAACGTGCAGGTTTGTGACATAGGTATACACATGCCATGATGGTTTGCTGCACCCATCAATCTGTCATCCACATTAGGTATTTCTCCTAATGCTATCCCTCCCCTAGCCTCCCACCCCCTGACAGGCCCTGGTGTGTGATGGCCCCTCCCTGTGTCCATGTAAAAGACTAATACATCGAGTTGCAACTGTGAGATAAAATATGAAGTCATTGTAGACTGCAGTAGTCATGGAAGGTATTACAAAGGAAGGGAGCTATGACTTGGATCTTGTAGGCTTTAGATGAACAGACTGAAATAAGGAAATTTTTCCAGTCCAGGAATCCTGACAAGGCAATCTGTGGGAAGCAGAAATGGCTGTGTACATGTGGAAAATGTAGGTGTTGACCAGTGTGGTTAGGGTAGAGCATTCTTTATAATGGCCTACGAGGCTGTACATGGGCTGGTCATCATCACCTCTCTGACTTCATCTCCTTCCAGTTTTTGTCTCACTCATTCCCATGCCAGCCAGTCTTGTCTTTTTGCCAGTCCAAGAACCTGCCAGACATTCATCAGCTTCAGGGCCTTGGCACTTGCTGTTCCCTCTGTCCCAAATGCTTTTCTTCTAGATATTCATGTGACTTACTCCAATATGCCTTTCAAGTCTTTGTTCAGATGACTTCTACTTGATGAGGCCTGTCTTGATCAACTTTGTAATTACAGGATTCCTTGACACTCCTCATTTCTCTTCTGCACAATTTATTATCTTCTAAGATCTAGTATAATTTATGCATTTTTGTGTGGTTGGTTATTGTCTCTCCCAACTAGATAAAGCTCCAGGAGATTAGGACATTTTAAAATGTGTATTTCTGAATTCCAATACCTAGGAAAGTGTCTGGAACATAGTAAGTGATTAATTAGTAAGTGTTGTTCATGAATGAGATTTAAGACTAGAAAACTGTATGGAGATGTTTCTCTGCCAGGAAGACCCAGGCAGAGAAACTCAGCAAAAGTGTTTGACCCAGAGAGTAACATGAATAAGGTATGCTTTAAGGAAACCAATCTGGTAGTGGTATGTAGTTTGGATTTTTTCAGGAAAGAAACTACATTAGTGCTCTGGAAGTGAAGTGATCTGAGCTTATAAAAGAGTATGGCAATAGAATTGCAAATAAAGAAAAGTATTTATTTTTAAAGAAGGTATTTTAAAAGGAAGACTATTCATATTTAGCAACTGATGCAACATTAAAATTGGGGGTATAAGAATGAAGTGGGAAAATAGAAGGTTCTGACTTTTCTTCCCCTTCTTCTCCATTATTTTCCTTCTCTGCCCTGCTCTGTGCCATGGAAGGCTGACCCGTGGAAACTGCCTCACCTGGGCTCCCATGCCACCTGGCTTCCAGTTGGGTTCATTGAGTGGGAGGAGCAACAATAGAGTTGAGGGTGGAAGGAGATAAAGATGGGAGTCTTTCTTCCCGTATTCTCCCTACTTTGGATCTATACTCTGGCAATGACTATATCCTTTTATAAGGATAGTGCTATTGGGTGGTCCTTTCTACACAGTTCAAGGTCTCATCGAGCTTCTGATCCCTGGCCCTTTATCTCTAGAGCTATTAAAAGCTTCCTACTATTGACAGTCTCCAAATCCATCACTATCTTTAGTTTATTTCTGCAACTTGCCCATACCTCTAAAAGTAGTTCTTTCATTAAAGATTCTTAAGTTGGGCTGGGTGCAGTTGCTCACGCCTGTAATCCCAGCACTTTGGGAGGCCGAGGTGGGTGGATCACCTAAGGTCAGGAGTTTGAGACCAGCCTGACCAGCATGGAGAAACCCCATCTCTACTAAAAATACAAAAATAGCTGGGCATGGTGGCACATGCCTGTAATCCCAGCTACTTGAGAGGCTGAGGCAGGAGAATTGCTTGAATCCAGGAGGTGGAGGTTGCAGTGAGCCGAGATTGCACCATTGCGCTCTAGCCTGGGCAACAAGAGTGAAACACCATCTCAGAAAAAAAAAAAAAAAGATTCTTAAGTTGAACAATTTAAGGGTAAACTCTATTTAGTTCTAGGAGTATGATTGATGGAGAGGGGAAGAAGTTAAGATTGACTGCATACTTTCAAACCTAAGAAATTGAAGAAAAAAAGTCACCTTTAAGAAAAATATGAAAATTCAGAAAGAAAAACGTCAATTTTGAGAAATGATGAAAATTTAACTTTGAAACAGTGGAAGGTGAACAAAATGGCAAAATATCTGAGTGAAATGTTTGTTAGTCAGACATGAAAACTAGACATATTAGAATAAAAGTTGATTTCATCATCAATTTATTAAGTTCCCAAAGTGAGTCAGATTCGGGTTTGGTCTTTATTGAAGTCTGAGTGTAACTGAGACCTTTGAGTTAGGAATGATGAGTAATGTGTAGGAAGGAGTATAGATTGAGAAATTCAGAAGGCCAGGAACTGAAATCCTATTTTCTAATTTAGGACTTGAAATGATAAAGTGGAGATAGGCAAGAGGCCAGAGAAGAAGAGAGAATTCAACAACTAGGGCATGGAGAGTGTCAAGAAGGATGAAATAAAAATTCAAATATTATAGACAATATCAGCCATATCCCATTAGAAAAATACTATTTACATTCTTATAAAATCAGAATATAGATTAATTTATAATATGAATTATGTGACATAGTGTCACAGGATCCTTGGAGTATCTCTTCTGGCCAGAAACCTCACCCAAGTTTTGTTTGGGCCTGCTGGGCTTGTTCTGCCCACTTGGCCTGGCAGGCTGCTCTTGGCTCATGCTACCAGCCTGGATCCCACACCTGGCAAAAGTGAGTGGAGTGGCAAGGGGTGTGTTAGCAAGCGAGCATGGGGTCTGGCCACTAAGCACAGCCAGGTATGCTGGTTGTGGCAGGGTGGGCAGCTTCAGGCACTGACATGGGTGTATGGCTGTGGCTGAACCAGGTGTTCTGCAAGCAGCTTCTGTGGTTGGCACCGGGAAATGCAGTGGTGCCCAGAAGCTTAGAGATGCCAGGAACCGCAGAACCCAAAAGTGGGTGTCACAGCTCTGGCTCGGGGAGCTCCTAGGTCTGGGCTTCTTGAAGGGCCACAGCTTTTCTCACCTTCTCTCTTCTCTCCTTGTCACTTGCAATGTGGTGAGCAAGGGGTGTGTTTCAGCCCTGTTTGTGTTACAGCTCTTTCATTCCCACCATTTGGCAGGTCCCGAGTTCTTTCCTCACATCCAGGAAGAATGAGGTACATGGACAAGTGGAGGGTGAAGTGAGCAAGGCAAAGAGGTGCTTTATTGAGCGACAGAACAGCTGAGAGGAGACTGCAGTGGGTAGCTCTTCTTCACAGGCAGGGTGTCCTGATGTTTGTTCAGCTCTCAGCAGAGAGGAGACCCACACTGGGTAGCTCCTTTCTGCAGGCAGATCGTCCCGGCGTCTGTCTGAGTCTGCCTGAGTCTGGGGTTTCTGTGGTCTTCAGAGGGGTGGAAGTGCATGCTGATTGGTCCATGGGTGGCCATCGGTGGGACCAGAAAAAGCACCATAAGTTCTCACTTCAGGCGGCGGAACTGGCAGCCCTGCCCCCAGGCTTCAGGCCATCTGAGGCCTGAAGGTGGGGCTTCACCGAGGACCTGTCCTTTTCTGCCCAGGAGCCTGTCTGCCTCTGGCGGCCACCAACCTGCCATCCCCAGCCCCCAGGCTGTTTGTGCTGAGGGACACCACCTGCAAGCCCTTGCGGAACCACACTCAGCACCCCCTTGGCCTCCCTCTCGTGCTTGTCGGTGCCTGAGACAGCAGGGGGCTGGCTTGTCCGCGCTGCCCTGAGTGCACGCACACCTGGCAGGGTCTTGACAGCACCTGGGCTTGGCCACAACTTTGGTCTGAAATCGGAGTGGGCGCTGGGAGCAGGGAGAGGCCAGGCAGTGGGAGTTCCCAGCCTGCGCGGACGTGGGGGCTTCCCGGGCCACTGAGAGTGCAGAGATGCCTGGGTCTGCAGCCATGGCTAGGTGGCCGGCTGCAGCTGCACCCAAGAGGGCCGGATTCCTGCCCCTCCAACTTGGAAGGGGGTGGGGCTTCCACCTGTTCCCAGCTCCTGCCGGCTACTGGGAGCATGCAGCCCTGGCTGCACCTCCCACCCCACTGCAGCTGGCATCTTGGCAGCAGCCACTCCAGATGGGCCGCCGCTGCCATCAATAGCTTAAGGCCATCACCCGTTTTGTCTGTGAAGATCTAGTTAAAAAGCGTGGACTTAGAAGGAAGAGATTTAGATACATCTATCTGAATCAGACAAATGTAGCCTGACACATACATTTCTTTGTAGGGATGATCTTGCAAATGAGAGATATACCACCATTTGTAATTAAATTTATCCTACCCAGTTAGGGTTTGAGCAGGTATCATCAATATTTGCCCTTGTGACTCTCTTTTCTAACTTCCATGGTAGGCTAAGTGCTACCATTCAACAAATACATATTGGAAAATTTCAGGCTCTATTCAAGAATAAGACTATAAGACCCCTGCTCTCATGGTGTACATATTATAGTTGAGGAGACACAATAATGTACAAGAAGTCACTAAAAAAATAAAAGGGACTTTCAGATCATGATAAAAATGATTAAGAAAAACACAACAATATGTGACCAAGAGTGATGGTGCTCTTATGGGGAGTGTTAGATATGCCTGGAAAGGAATTTCAGGAGGTGACATGCAAATTGAGTTCTCAACAGTAAGCCAGGTTGTAATATTAAGGAAGAATATTTCATGCCAGTGAAAAATAGGTATAACTAATCTGAGGCAGGAATGAGTTTGGAATGTTGGATGAATAGAAAGAAGGCTAAAAGGCTTGAGCAGTGTGAGTGAGAAGAGTGGTAGAAGATTATATAGATAGGATAAATCATATAGGCTTGTATGTCAAGTAAAGCAGTTTGGATTTTACTCTAAGTGCAAGGAGAAACCATTGGGGAATGTAAATGGAGGGTCACTCTTTGTGCTTCATGGGGAATGAATTGTAGGGTTCCAAGTGTGGAACCAAAGAGATCATCTAGGAGACCACTGCAATAGTTTAGGCAAAATATGGCTTGTGGCTTGGGCTGGAATGGTAATAACTGAGGTGGAGAGGAGCACATAGATTCAGGATGTATTTTGAATCTGGAGCCATAAGGACTTGGTGATGGATTAGACGTGTAGGATAAGAAAAAAGGATTCAATGATGTTATCTGAGGATTCTTGGCTTGAGCAAGTGGGTGTACATGATGGTAATTACTAGTATGAGAAAAATGGGGAGAAATAAGTTTCAGAGATGTGTTGGGAGGTTCCTAAGACCACTCTTACGTTCTGTGATTTGCCATAAGGACTCCCCAAAATCAGATGAGTTATTATCATCACTCATAGCAGTGATCCATTACAGCTAAAGGATACAGATTAAAATCAGCAAACGAAAAAGGAGCATAGAGTATGGCCTAGGAGAAACCAGGCATAGGCTTCTACTTTTCCTCTCCCAGTGGAGTTACATGAACAGTATTTAGTTCTCCCATAAATGATGTGTGATAACACATATAAAGTATGGCCAACCAGGGAGGCTCATCTAAGCCTTGTGTCCAGGGTTGGACAAGTTCATTCACATAGTCATGGGGCACCCACATGGCTTGGTTATTCAGTGTCCAGCCTTCACCCTTGCCCCACGAAGTTCAGGCTGATATAGCATGTCCCAGGGCTCCAGGTATACAGAGACACTCTTATTAGGCAGAATATTCCAAGGACTCAGAGGTACATCCCAGGAACCAGACCTGAAGATCTTTGAAATGTGCAGGGTTTAAGCAGTCTGGGTCAGCTGAGTTAACCCTTTAATACACAAGGGGAAAATCAAGAGCTGTGGTTTGGCAATTTTAAGTTTGAGATGCTTCTTTGAAATCCAAAAGGAAATGTCAGGGGTTAGTAATAAAGTTATGGAAGTTTTTAGTTTATGAAAGGTATTTAAAATCATGACAGTAGGTAAGATTACCCCAGGGGAGTATCTAGGTTAAAAAGAGAAAAGGGCCTAGGATGAAGATACAAGGCTTTCCAATATTTGGAACCTAGAGGAGGAGAATATGAGAGCAAAGGAGAAAGAAGGGAAACTGTGAGATTACATAGTCACAGAGACTCAGACAAAAAAGTGTCTTAAGATGGACGAAGTCAACTGTATTGACAGAGGTTCGCTCTATCGCCCAGGCTTGAGTGCAGTGGCATGATCTCAGCTCACTGCAAGATCTGCCTCCTGGGTTCATGCCATTCTCCTGCCTCAGCCTCCCGAGTAGCTGGGACTACAGGTGCCTGCCACCATACCCAGCTAACTTTTTGTATTTTTAGTAAAAATGGGGTTTCACCGTGTTAGCCAGGATGCTCTCAATCTCCTGACCTCATAATCTGCCCGCCTTGGCCTCCCAAAGTGCTGGGATTACAGGTGTGACCACTGCGCCTGGCCCGAGATGTTTAAAGGTGAAAGATGGAAGGTCACATGTGCTTGTAGTTGGGATTAATCCAGTGAAGAGCTTAATCTAGACATTGATAATACAAAAGTAAAAATGGGTAATTATAGGTGTTTGTTCTTTGCAAAGACAAGAAAGCATAGAATTTATCACACAATTCTTGTATTGTGCAGGAGGGAAGGCAGGAAATAGAGTTCAGGGCCCGTGGCTTTGGTGCCAGAGAAATTGAAGGAGTTGCCGTTAACTTGCTTGTTATCTCCCAGGGAAGAAAACTCCATTTCAGATTTACATTTTTTTTTCCTTAGGTCTGGTCAACATAATTTTCCAATTTAAGGACACTAGTGAGAGAAGAGAAGAATGATTGATAGGCAAAATGAGAGGAATTGATAGACTTGAACAAAGATCTTGATGATGTGTTGGGTGTAAAAGACAAAGCAAGTTGGAAGGATAGGAAAGTGTTGTTTTAAAGGTACTACGTTTATTTATTTAATTTTTTTTTTTTTTTTGAGACGGAGTTTTGCTCTGTCACCCAGGCTGGAGTGCGGTGGTGCGATCTCGGCTCACTGCAAGCTCTGCCTTCCGGGTTCATGCCATTTTCCTGCCTCAGCCTCCCAAGTAGCTGGGACTACAGGCGCCCGCCACCACGCCTGGCTAATTTTTTGTATTTTTAGTAGAGATGGGATTTCACCATGTTAGCCAGGATGGTCTCGATCTCCTGACCTCATGATCTGCCTGCCTCCGCCTCCCGAAGTGCTGGGATTACAGGCGTGAGCCACCGCGCCCGGCCTAAAGGTACTATATTTATTATTTCAGTAGTGAAGTAGCTGCATTTGACAACCATGCCCAGAATGTGTTCATGGAAGCGAGTGCCCAAAATAGAGCTAAGAAGAGATCCCTAGGTATAAGGAGGTGATGAAATCTAAACAGAAAAAATTTAAGATAAATCAGTTATGTGTTTCCTCAGGGTGATGACAGGATTTGAAGATGAAGGAAAGGCCAAAGGTTTTAATAAATAATAAGTGAGAATGACTGAGAAAGGGTTGGAGGTGAGGTTTAACAAGAGAAGAGAAGAGTAATTGTCTAGAAATGGTGGTGGAGAGGAAGGAGGATCCTGATGCCATCCTAGGGTCTTCATATGCTTGGAATATTGGAAAATGATTCAATTCATGGAAGCCATTTTCCCTGGGAAGAACTAAACTATAGTAAATTATAAGCACTGAGGAAATTACAAAGTAAAGATTATGAAGATATTAGCTTATTAATCTTGGAATGGGAATTCCTAAAGAAAGATTGAGTAATGAGAGCAATAGTGGGAATTTGGATTATGAAAGAGAAATTGCATAAAGAGGGAAGTAGGGAGAATACAGCAGTCTAAGAGCTTACTTAGCAGAAACCAAGGAAAACGGGCTAAGGATCTGTGGACATACCTGACTATCAGGTAGCCAGGAAAAGAACTGATGTTATCTTGGTGAGCATGAAACTCAAACATTTAGAGTTTAATAGCATTCAGGAAGAGTATAAAAAGAAATATCCCTCTGTCTAATATTCTACTTGTAGTCACTGTTGAGATTATTGTATTCAGAATAATGTTACTAAACTGTCAATATGGTTATAGTATCTTCTTTTCTTAAAAAGAACTCCAAGCTACTAAATCTTGAATGAGTAAAGAAGGAGGAAGAAGAAAGAATAATTTTTGGAGAAATATAAAGGAGTAATATAAAAATGCAGGTATGTTTAGGAAGATGGACAGAGGGAAAAAGAAGAAAGATTGAATAAGTATATAAACATATTTTGAAGAAGAAAGGAGCTGTATGCTATTAATAGAAATATCAACAAGAAAAAAAAAAGTTAAACCAGTGTTTAACCAGTTCTACCCCTTCTGGCTCTAAATGCAAGAGAGTTATCGTGCAAAACCATAGTATTTTGCGTCAAACAGACGAATCTGAATTTGAATAATGGCTCTACCAGATACTAGCTGTGACCTTAGACAAGTCACTTTACCTCTCTTAACTATGTTTTTCATTTACAAAGTGAGGTTGACCATCTGAACCTCTTAAGTTGCTTTGAATATTATATGAGAAAACACAAGAAAGTGTAAAACGTGATACCTGACACATGGTAAATGCCCAGCAAATGTAGATTCTGTCTTTCTTTTTGATTGCTTTCTTTTCTGGTTACTTTCTTTTTATTACTTTTCTGATAATGATTTCTAGTTTTCTTGAGAGTTTCTGCTTCTGCCTATCAAAATTCAGTATCGTCTTAGACTTTTTTCTTGAACTCCTTCCCTTTGATGATTCATTTTCCCATTTTGAAATCTGTGATGTGTGCATTGGTGGTTCAGTTTTTTCATGGGCACTAGAAACCTTCTCACAGTCTTCAGGATATTTTACTTGAATGTTAACCTAGGTAAGTTTAAACATATTTTAGAGAATTAAGTTACTCATTTGTTATCACATGCAGCAAAACATTTATCCAAGTTTCATAACTAATGGAATTGGCCTTCATGCCCAATTTGACTTCAGGTAGTTGGCTGTTGGCAGAATAACAAGAGATTTGTTTTTTAAATGAATCATACTCTGTCACCTCCAAGCCTTTACGTGCTTTGGAATGAATTTATTCTCCCTTTGTCTAGTGGTAAGAGTTCAAGCAAATCACTTTAGGCCTCTGGGTCTCAATTACAAAATGTGATGGTTATTCTAGCTCAAAATGTATATGATTCCATGAAGCCTAGGGAAATTTCACACTTTTCTAGAGGCCACAGCTGGTTTGTAGTAGATTGAGGAAGAGAACCCATATCTTCTAGCTCAGAGAACATTGTATTTTCCCATATGCTCCTGTTAACCACGGGAAAATAATGTCACATTGTTACCAGTGGTGAATACCTACAGGTCTGCAGCAATTTGGTTCTTGCCTCCTAGGAGGAAAGAGTTTGACTGAAGGGCATAGGCAGAGGAAGAGATTGAGGCAAGTTTTAGAGCAGGAGTGACAGTTTATTGAAAAGTTTTAGAGCAGGAGGAAGTGACAGAGCGGAGCTAGCGCGTCAAAGGTACCTCTATGGTTTTCCTCGCTTTCTTGAGCTGGGAAATGGCCACTGTGTAGTCGCAATGGAAATAAATCCCCGGAACTGCGATTCAGTGTGTGAGGAATTTGAATTTAGAGTTTAATTTCTCAGAGTATTCTCTCCAGGAAGAATTTTTACAGTATCTCAAAGATTTCACTTGACTCCTTGATCCTACATAAACCCAAGGAGAAAAGAAACGGGTCGCTCCAATTCTAGATCACATTCTTCAAGGTCAAAGTCTAGATGACAGTCTAGTTCTCGATCAAGATCAAGATCTCATTCTAGAAAGAAGCGACACAGTTCTAGGTCTCGTTCCAGAACATATTCAAGGTCTTGGAGTAGAGATCGTATGTATTCTAGAGATGATCGTCGTGAGTACAGAAATAATAGAGGAATGAAATGACCTTATGGGTACAGAGGAAGGGGTAGAGGGTATTATCAAGGAGGAGGAGGTAGATATCATCTAGGTGGTTATAGACCTGTCCGGAATAGGAGGCACTCTAGGAGTCCTAGACGAGGTCGTTCACATTCCAGGAGTCCAAAAAGAAGATCCGTTTCTTCTCAAAGATCCAGAAGCAGATCTCACTGGTCATATAGCTCTTCTAGGTCTCCAAGATCATTCTCTTCTCGTTCTTCATCTCCATATAGCAAATCTCCTGTTTCTAAAAGACGAGGGTCTCAGGAAAAACAAGCCAAAAAAGCTGAAGGGGAACCCCAAGAAGAGAGTCCGTTGAAAACTAAATCACAGGAGGAACTGAAAGATACATTTGAACATGATCCATCTGAGTCTATCGATGAATTTAGTAACTCATCAGCCACATCCGGTGATATTTGGCCTGGCCTTACAGCTTATAATAATAGTCCCAGATCACCCCATAGTCCTTCACATATTGCTACACCACCTAGTCAGAGTTCATCTTGCTCTGATGCTCCCATGCTCAGTACAGTTCACTCTGCAAAAAATACTCCTTCTCAGCATTCAAAATCCATTCAGCATAGTCCTGAAAGGTCTGGGTCTGGTTCTGTTGGAAATGGATCTAGTCCATACAGTCCTTCTCAGAATAGTCCAGTTCATCACATCCCTTCACGAAGAAGTCCTGCAAAGACAATCGCACCACAGAATGCTCCAAGAGATGAGTCTAGGGGCCGTTCCTCATTTTATCCTGATAATGGAGATCAGGAAACTGCAAAGACTGGGAAGTTCTAAAAAGGTTCACAGATGAAGAGTCTAGAGTATTCCTGCTTGATAGGGGTAATGCCAGGGATAAAGAGGCTTCAAAAGAGAAAGGATCAGAGAAAGGGAGGGCAGAGGGAGAATGGGAAGATCAGGAAGCTCTAGATTACTTCAGTGATAAAGAGTCTGGAAAACAAAGTTTAATGATTCAGAAGGGGATGGCACAGAGGAGACAGAGGATTATAGACAGTTCAGGAAGTCAGTCCTCACAGATCAAGGTAAAAGTTTTGCTGCTGCATCTCACCGGAATACTGAGGAGGAAGGACTCAAGTACAAGTCCAAAGTTTCACTGAAAGGCAATAGAGAAAGTGGTGGATTTAGAGAAGAAAAAAATTATGAACTTAAAGAAGCTGGATATGTAGTGGAAAGGCCTAGCACTACAAAAGATAAGCACAAAGAAGAAGACAAAAATTCTGAAAGAATAATAGTAAAGAAAGAAACTCAGTCACCTGAGCAGGTAAAGTCTGAAAAGCTCAAAGACCTCTTTGATTACAATCCCCCTCTACACAAGAATCTGGATGCATGAGAAAGTCTACCTTCAGAGAGGAAAGCCCACTTAGGATCAAAATGATAGCAAGTGATTCTCATCATCCTGAAGTCAAACTCAAAATGGCACCTGTTCCTCTTGATGATTCTAACAGACCTGCTTCCTTGACTAAAGACAGGCGGCTTGCTAGTACACTTGTCCATTCTGTCAAGAAGGAGCAAGAATTCTGATCCATCTTTGACCACATTAAGTTGCCACAGGCCAGCAAAAGCACTTCAGAGTCATTTATTTAACACATTGTGTTCTTGGTTCATCATGTTAAAGAGCAATACTTCAGGTCAGCTGCAATGACCCTAAACAAGCGGTTTACTTCCCATCAGAAAGCCACTGAAGAACATAGTACTCGGCAAAAGAGCCCTGAAATACACAGGAGAATTGACATCTCACCAAGTACCCTGAGGAAGCATACCCATTTAGCAGGGGACGAGAGAGTTTTTAAAGAAGAAAATCAAAAGGGAG
Organism: Homo sapiens; assembly: GCF_000001405.40. NCBI lineage: Eukaryota > Metazoa > Chordata > Mammalia > Primates > Hominidae > Homo > Homo sapiens. The sequence continues at coordinate 110,948,737 of NC_000005.10, read as the reverse complement.
ATAAAAAAAAATTAAGGTGTGACTCTGCTGACCTTCAGCATGACATTGATCACCGTAGAAAAGAAATAAGTAAAGAACGGGGAAATTCCAAGGGCCCCAGGGAATCCAGTGGATCAAGAAAGCAGGAAAAAACTCCAAAAGATTACAAGGAATACAAATCTTACAAAGATGACAGTAAACATAAAAATAGAGAGCAAGATCATTCTCGATCTTCATCCTCTTCACCATCACCTTCTTCTCCCAGTTCTAGAGAAGAAAAGGAGAGTAAGAAGGAAAGAGAAGAAGAATTTAAAACTCACCATGAAATGAAAGAATACTCAGGCTTTGCAGGAGTTAGCCAACCATGAGGAACCTTTTTTCGAATTAGAGGCAGAGGAAGAGACAGAGGAGTTTTTGCTGGGACAAATACTACTCAAATACTACTTTTTAAAAGAGACCGAAGGAAGAGGAATGGGATCCAGAATATATCCCAAAGAGCAAGAAGTATTTCTTGCATCATGACAGAGATGATGGTGTGGATTATTAGACCAAAAGAGGAAGAGGTCGTGGTACTTTTCAACGTGGCAGAGGGTGCTCTAACTTCAAAAAATCAGGTAGCAGTCCTAAATGGACTCATGACAAATACCAAGGGGATGGGATTGTTGGAGAAGAAGAAGAGACCATGGAAAATAATGAAGAAAAGAATGACAGATGCAAGGAAGAAAAGGAATAATAAACATGAAGTAAGATTACAGCAGAGCAGAAGTTGTACCCACCATTTTTTTTTACCTGATTTTCGTTTTCAAATAAGAATGTAAGCATTTTACTTAAATTTTACTGTTTGCAAGTAGTCTATAGGAATTTTGTTTTAAGTCTTCAAATATCTTGAGAAATAGTAGACTGTACGTTGAAAATTGTACTGAAATAAAGTAGAAAATTGTTGCATACCATATTTGTAACTATCAACTTAAAAAAAAACTTTTAACGTTTTTGTTACATGCATTGTAATTCTGCTTTGTCTATAAGATATGGTCAAGTACAGCTCTGTGAAAGTTCTGATTCTCTTCCTTCCCTGTTTGTCAATGTTTTATTCTGAAGTAAACGTTAGCTCTACGTATAAATCCCAGAACAGAAATTGTTTATAGAGACTACACTAATTATTTTAACTCTATACATCTGTTTAATTTGAACACACTACATTGTAGGGTGACTAATTTTTGAAGTATACCACAGAAAAAAAGTTGTTACTTTGGTAAACTAAGCTAGTTTAACACTTGAGCAAATACTTAAGAAGGAATAAAAAAGCTTTGCCAATAGCTACAAAGTACAAGCTATTAAAAATTAGATGGAAAAGTTTTAAGAAAATGTTACTTTTACTGAAAGCAAGCAGTGGCCTATAAATAACATTCTTAGGAGCCTTTTCTATTTGCATTCAAAACTGAGTGTTCTCTTCCTATTCCTTTTTGATAGTTTGAGTCATGGTCTTAGATATTAGCTATTTGCGAGAGGAAACTGGTTTGTAATAATTCTGCAAATGGAAGCCCCATTTCTACTGAACATCCTAGTTTTAAACAGAAGAAAAACTGTAATCCTGGGGTTGGTATGGAGGAGGTTTATCCTGCAGAATAAGTTGATACATTAGTACCTGATTTCATATCTTACATATTTATTTGAGCTGAGCATTAGTTTGTAGTGTAACTATTAGTAAAAATGGAGAAACAAAACTTACGTTCATTAATAGTATTTTAAGAAAATTATTTTTCAAATGTCACCAATAAAAGTTTTGGCAGGAAGCTTGTTGCCACATTGATCTAACTTTTTTTTTCTCCCCTATTTCAGTTGCACTTTGTAAAATGGCTTTTTCTTTTTCCTCTTAAGGGTTCTACTCTTCAGGTAGATAATTTTTCAAATGTGAATTATCTTTTGTGTCTATATTGATAGCTCTTAAAGGAGTGAAAATCTAAAATAGTAAATTTCAATGTTAAGTCTGTCTGCTTTATGGGCATATATAAAAGTAGACACATTTCATTTGTTAATTTAGTTGTGTGTGTTAAAAGGAGCTAATGCTTATTCTGTTAATGTAAACTTTTGAAGATCTTAAGTGTATTGCTCTTTCATCTTAAACACTTTCAAGGATTTGCAATGCTTCTAGCACCTAGATTACAGCCAGGGACATTGGGTAAGAGCTGTTGGAAACAAAACTAAAAGCAAACTTAACATATGTGATGTTTATGGTCCTCAGATCCTTAATATTGTGTGATTTTCCAACCTTAACATGTCTTTCTGAAATTGTCTATTAAAGCAGAGGAAATACCTGCCAAAGGAAGTATGTATTGCATTAATCAGGACATAACTAATATTCTCCTGTTCAGAATAATACTTATTTATGTGTGAAAGCAACAGGGATGTGATCCCCAACACAGAATTTTCATGACCTTCTATTGTATACAAATAAGTACATAACAGTTACTTGGTTAGACATTAAAAAAAAAAAAGTTTCAGAGCAGGAATGAAAGGAAGTAAAGTACACTTGGAAAAGGGCCAAGCAGGCAACTTTAGAACTCCAAGTTCGCTGTTTGACGCTTGACTTGAGGTTTTATACACTGGCATGGTTCTTGGATTTGTATCTCTCCTCCCTTGATTTTTTCTTTGGGCAGGCTGTCCGTATGCACAGTGGCCTGGCAGCACTGGGGTGGGGCTGCATGCACAGTGTGTTTACTGAAGTTGTGCACATGCTCATTTGAGGTGTTTTCTCTTACCAATCATGTGTTCCTAGAAAGTTATAGACCAGTTAAACTCTGCAATTTTGCCTTTTAGTGCTCATTCTTGAGGCTGCTCATCAAACTCCTGAGATCTTAACTGGAAGCTGCTGATCACAAGCTTCAGTTTTCTATTTTTTTTTTTTTTGGAAGACTGCCTTTCCCTGACACTGGCTGCAACCAATTATTATTTTAGAGAAACAGTTTAACAACCTCTTGACCATCCCCTGATGGTTGCCTGACATTCCTGGTTGTGGGGGTCCCTCTCCTGCCCTGCTCATGTCTGTCTGACTACCTGCTCTAACAATGTGCTACCATCTTTCCTATTACTTTCCCATACGTAGGATCAGCTCAACTAAACCATTCTTGACACTCTTCTGGCCACCAACCCAAATGCCTCAGGACAGAGAATAAACATGGTCTTTAGGCTGCTGATCTTGGGTAATAGGCTCCAGGGATCTAAGTTAGAAAGAAAGTTTGTAGAGAAAAATAGTTGGCAAGAAAAGAGAGGTAAACAAAAGAGTTCAGATGTCATTTTTGGAAAAGGAGGAGTTGTCCAGCATAAAATCTAGAGCTCCAAGGAACTTGCCACTAATAAATTAAGATGCTGAAATACAGACCTTTCAGTAGTATCAGCAAGGTTGACCTTTGCTGTGATATCTCCTGTTTACTGTGTATACAAATTATATAAGTCACAGCAAAGTAGAAATTTGTCGCATGGGGAGATTCCATGTGGTTTCATTGCCCTTGGTGGTGTGAAGAGCAAGCCATGCTGTGAATGATCTCACAAAACTCTATGTTTGTGTCATTTCAAGATGACAAGTAAATAAGGGGCCTTGGGAAATCCCAAGAAAGGCAGGATGAAGGAAGGAGATTAGACTTCCAATGCCTAAATAATTGATATTATAGTTAACTCTTCCATGACAGTGGGTAGTAAAGATAATCAGGAAAACAGAAACGTAAGAAGCGGAAACCAACTGTGAATTGGTAGGTTTCTGTTTTGAAAACAGCTCTTATTTATTTCTCTCTCTTTTTCTGGGAAGTTGTAGTTTTTCAGGGGTAAACTCTAAGTTTTCTGTTGTGCAAGATTTTAGTTTCACAAATAAGTGGTTGAAATCTTGGGTTCTTCTTTTTGCATTGGGCACTGGCTATCCTCTGTAAAAGGAGTTGTGTGTTGGTTGATGTCCCAATATACAGATACATCCAACTGGTTCTGTTCTGTTCCCCACTGATCAGGGGCAAGATGCTCTCCTGCATGCCTCCATCCTCATACAAGGTGTCAAAATGCCCCTCCTCCTGTTTAGGGGCTAGGAAGTTCCCAAGACTATTGAACCCTCGGTTTTCTTTAGGTTGATGACATAGGTTGTGCCAATTCTTCAATCCATTTGGTAATTGCTTTTCCTTCCACTCTGCTTATTGGTATTTGTGACAGATAGTATTCCTTCTCCTTCCCTCCTTGAAGACCGCTGGTTTTATTCTTCCATATCTCTTTGCTCTATGTTGGAGATACTCTACTTCTGTGCTACCCTCCGACAACTCCTCTAGTCTATGAGATGGGAAAGTTGGCCCTGCAAGCCTAGATATCAGAATCTTCCTTTTGGATTTGACTTTCCATCTGCTTTGTTATAGGCAAGAGGAGGAAACCCAGCTCTTGGATAGCAGTAAATGTTAAGAGGGAGCAAAATGCACAGGAAGCAACCATATTAACATTCTGAGCTAGCATGCTACAACACCTATCTAAATCATTATGTTTACCTTTTCTTAAATAGGACCAAATGGTATGAGGCCACAGTGCATTTCCTTGATTAGTTTTGTCTTCTACTGAGGTTTCCTTTGCTTGCAAGTGACATATAGCAAATTTTAATTAACCTTAATTAGTAAGGAAATTGATTGGAGAGATACTATGATATCTTGGTGAAATAAAAGGAAGAGAACTGTCCAGTCCTAAGAAGGGCAGAAGTACAGCTAGGTCTTGAGAACTGCTAGTCCCAGGCTCTACAATGCCTCATGGCTCTTTTCCTCTGTCCATTCACTCTTTTCCTTACTTCTATAGATTGACTTGCTCTGTGTGATAGAAAACATGACCACTCACTAATTCCTAAGTGTAACTTTGTAATTGAAAGATATTATGTTCCCCTTCCCTCATAGAAAAGGAAGAAGGAAAAGACAATCTGAGCGGGATATCTCCTAGACAAAAATTTATTTTAGACCTTAAAATAATAAATTTCAGAGCTTCTACTGGAACTTCGTACAGTGAAAGGAACAGCCCTTAAGAGATATGTGTTTGACAATGAGTTTGTTTTCCATTCCCAGCAGATACAACAGGATAAAACTGAAAGTATAATTTGGGGATAAAGGAAAGGAATTAGCACTGATCTACATAATGACAATATTAAGTATGTCATTGTGAGATTGCGAACCTTGCAAAGCCTGTGGCTGGTAAGAACATTTCTTCTCTTCCTTATGAGTTGAAATTAAGCTGTTTTATAAAAACCAATATTTATACTTTCCATATATACATGTGAGTGTGTGTGTTTCCACCACTACCTACTGGAAATTAGAATGATAATTGGACAAGTTCTGTGACAACCACTGGTACAAAGACTTTTAGAACCCTTGGGTTGTTATTTTAGGCTGAATCACTCAGACCTGTAAAAATATTCCACAGAGAGAAGTCAAATGCATCATACAGCAAAGGTTTCCTATCGGTAGGGACATAGTATCCCAAAAGGTGTGTGTAGCATCATAAAGAGAGACAGACCTGAAAATTAGCCAGGCGTGATGGCACACACTTGTAATCCTAGCTACTCAGGAGGCTGAGGCAGGAGAATCAGCTGAGCCCAGGAGGCGGATTGCAGTGAGCTGAGATCCCGCCATTGCACTACAGCCTGGGTGACAGAGTGAGACTCTATCTCAAAAAAAAAAAAAAAAAAGGGAAAGAGAGAGATACAGACCTGAGAAGCGGGGCATAAGGTTAGGGAAAAAGGTGTTCATGAAAGGCTACCCTATACATTTTAAACTTCTTGATTGCTTTTATTTTATTTTAGATGGTGTACACAGCATATGACAGTCAACAAATATCACAGACTTAGCTTCAAAATATCTTACTAGCTTCTATACTTACTAACTAAATATCTATACTTAGCTTAAAAAATATCTGTCTAGAGAAGAAATGAGAAACTGTGTCATGTGAGACCAGGATGGGTATAGAACACAGAGCAGATACCTACATATTCCTTAGTCCCACAGGGGTTCATAGGCCAGCAAACCCAGATTTCAGCTATATGGAGTGACCTACAAGAGTATTTGCTGCAAGCGTGAGAAACCATTCCTCACCTTCCTTTGCCATTGTCTAAAACCCTCTTGTGTATCACAGGCACCTTCCTAGTTACAATGTTCAATGACACAAGACATATTTAAGCACATTTAGTTTATCAAAATATATGTTTGATCCAAAATAAATCATCTATAACATAATTAGATTATTCATATTTTTGAATGATCACCTTTGTAGGTTTTGTGGTCTGGACATCTCCATATGGAGTTACAGAACACTGTGGTAGAGGTTACATTATTTAATTTTCTCCCTTTTTATGTTTTAATGTTCTTTAGTTACTTCAATCTGTCTGTAAAGGCCAATATAGCTGTTCAACCTTATGTAGCAATGCTGCGTGGGATTAAAGAGTAGGCAGTACAGAAAATGTATCTGGAACAGATTAACCATTTTGCTGGTTCCAGTGCAGAGACAGAGTACACTATTAAGGTGACTACATCAAGGCATATGGGAGGTGACCAGCAGGAAAGCGAAGTTTTCTTAGGAAGGAGCTAGGAATATCAAGGTGGACTACTGTGAGAACTGTGATGTAATGGCTATGTGGACAATGCAAGGAAATACATGAGAAAATCCTGCTTGTACACAGACTTGAGATAGATAACAGTAAATTGGGAAGAAAATTGACACATGGAGTATATGTTATGATTAAATTCTAGCTCCCAGTTACAAAATACCAGGGTAGAAATTTATTGATTCATTTTAAATAAAATGCTAAATCCCAGACCATCACTCAGTATTGAGGTAATGGGTCTCTTCCTACAGGCATATGATTGGGGAAAAGGGAAAGCAGTTTCCAAAATGGGAGAGGGATTAGACAGCCAATCTCACAGTAATGCACTGTAGGAATATTTATATTTACTTACAAAGCATTTTTCCTAAGAAGCTCAAAATTCTAAACTTGTCATCAGTTCTTAATGGCAAGTGTAGTGTGATGTGATTTTTTCAAGGAATTTGTGCAACACTTCTTGGAGCTGCAAGGGAATAGCAAGCCCACGCAGCAGCACACAGACCTGAGGAGGTCTTTGTTCCTCCTTAGACCCATTATAAGCAGGTTGTTTTTTAACCTATAATTCACACATGGCTCAGGTTTTCAAGTCACTTCTGACTTTGCCCAAACTGAAATATCTAAGAAAATAAGCAAAAGTCCAAATTCTTTAGATGTTCTTCTACAGGACCAAGGACACTGCAGCTAATAATGACGTAGGATGAAGATGGGTAGACTTAACAAGGGGAAAGCAGCAGTGTTCACTTACTTTAATTTGTATGGGAGAACAGATAAGTGACCTTCAGTTTCAGTACAGAATAAAAAGGCAAAATTTCAGAAGCATTTCATTTTATTAACATTTCATTATCATGAAACACTTTTAAGAAGGTCAGCCTCTTGAGGCAATGTGAATAAGATAACTTTCCTGTGTTTGTACTTTGTGTATTAAATATTCCTGAATCAGATGCATACATTACCCAAGTGTCAAAACTATGTGTTTCTCTTGGACAATGTGTCATTCATCAGAAGTTTGACATTTTAGGTCTTACAGTTTAAAATATTTTTTCTCTTACATATCTTAATTTTATTTTAAAATAATAATAGATGACTAATCTCCCTAAAGGACGGTATTTTTTCAGATATTGTATGGATAACTATTCTGAAGTTTAGAGGTTTTCAGTGGAGTCCTGTACACTAATTATGGACAGTTTAGATGGTAATTTTAAGTAGCTGTAAGTGGGGTAGGTGACCAAGGTAGTAGAAAAGCAAGGGGAAAATCAGATAGGAGATTTCCTCTTTGGATAGTTTGAAAACAACTGCTCTTCGGCAGGAGTTGGAGATTTAAAACTGAAATGTTGAGAATGGGGCCAAGATGGCCGATTAGAACGCAGCTGCAGTCTGAGGCACTCATAGAGAGGAATGAAAGGGGCGAGTGAAAACAAAGCAAAGCAGGGTGGGGCAATGACCCACCCAGGAGTGATATGGAGCCAAGGGAACCCCCATCCCCAGCCAAGGGAAGCGGTGACCAATGGTGCGACCCTGGGAAACCACACTTCTCCCATGGATCCTTGTAATCCATGGATCAGAAGATCCCCTCATAAGCCCATGCCACCAAGGCCTTGGGTCCAAAACACAGAGCTGTGGGGAGTCTTGGCAGAACAGCTGCTCAGGCTTGCGCAGAGACCCAGGAGCTTTACATACTCCGGCCCTGGGATCGCCAACAAACATGCCTGCAACTGACGCAAGGTAGGAAGTCTGCACATACCCCTAGGAAGAGGGCTGAATCAGGGAGTCAAGCAGCATCATTCTGCAGGCCCCACTTCCACTGGCACCTCTCAAGATAAGACTCACTGGCTTGGAATTCCAGCCAGCCACTATCAAGAGAGTGAAGTCGGCCTGAGACTGGATGAAGTCCCTGGGAGAAGGGGTGGGCCACATGTCTGCTGTTTGGTCAACTCAGTTGTTCCAGCCTGTGGACTTTGGAAAGTCCAAACTGTCTGGACGAGGAATGGTCCTCTCAGCACAGGACAGCTGCTTTGCAAGATCATGGGGAGACTGATTTTTTTTTTTTTTTAATTATACTTTACGTTTTAGGGTACATGTGCACAATGTGCAGGTTTGTTACATATGTATACATGTGACATGTTGGTGTGCTGCACCCATTAACTCGTCATTTACCATTAGGTATATCTCCTAATGCTATCCCTCCCCCCTCCCCCCACCCCACAACAGGCCCCGGTGTGTGATGTTCCCCTTCCTATGTCCATGTATTCTCATTGTTCAATTCCAACCTATGAGTGAGAACACGTGGTGTTCGGTTTTTTGTCCTTGCGATAGTTACCTGAGAATGATGGTTTCCAGCTTCATCCATGTCCCTACAAAGGACATGAACTCATCATTTTTTCTGGCTGCATAGTATTTCATGGTGTATATGTGCCACATTTTCTTAATCCAGTCTATCATTGTTGGACATTTGGGTTGGTTCCAAGTCTTTGCTATTGTGAGTAGTGCTGCAATAAACATACGTGTGCATGTGTCTTTATGGCAGCATGATTTATAATCCTTTGGGTATATGCCCAGTAATGGGATGGCTGGGTCAAATGGTATTTCTAGCTCTAGATCTCTGAGGAATCGCCATGCTGACTTCCACAATGGTTGAACTAGTTTACAGTCCCACCAACAGTGTAAAAGTGTTCCTATTTCTCCAGGACCTGTTGTTTCCTGACTTTTTAGTGATTGCCATTCTAACTGGTGGGAGATGGTATCTCATTGTGGTTTTGATTTGCATTTCTCTGATGGCCAGTGATGATGAGCATTTCTTCATGTGTTTTTTGGCTGCATAAATGTCTTCTTTTGAGAAGTGTCTGTTCATGTCCTTTGCCCACTTTTTGATGGGGTTGTTAGTTTTTTTTCTTGTAAATTTGTTTGAGTTCATTGTAGATTCTGGATATTAGCCCTTTGTCAGATGAGTAGGTTGCAAAAACTTTCTCCCATTCTGTAGGTTGCCTGTTCACTCTGATGGTAGTTTCTTTTGCTGTGCAGAAGCTCTTTAGTTTAATTAGATCCCATTTGTCAATTTTGGCTTTTATTGCCATTACTTTTGGTGTTTTAGACACGAAGTCCTTGCGCATGCCTATGTCCTGAATGGTATTGCCTAGGTTTTCTTCGAGGGTTTTTATGGTTTTAGGTCTAACATTTAAGTCTTTAATCCATCTTGAATTAATTTTTGTATAAGGTGTAAGGAAGGGATCCAGTTTCAGCTTTCTACATATGGCTAGCCAGTTTTGCCAGCACCATTTATTAAATAGGGAATCCTTTCCCCAGTGCTTGTTTTTGTCAGGTTTGTCAAAGATCAGATGGTTGTAGATATGCGGCATTATTTCTGAGTACTCTGTTCTGTTTCATTGGTCTATATCTCTGTTTTGGTACCAGTACCATGCTGTTTCGGTTACTGTAGCCTTGTAGTATGGGTTGAAGTCAGGTAGCATGATGCCTCCGGCTTTGTTCTTTTGGCTTAGGATTGACTTGGCAATGCGGGCTCTTTTTTGGTTCCGTATGAACTTTAAAGTAGTTTTTTCCATTCTGTGAAGAAAGTCATTGGTAGCTTAATGGGAATGACATTGAATCTATAAATTACCTTGGGCAGTGTGGCCATTTTCATGATATTGATTCTTCCTACCCATGAGCATGGAATGTTCTTCCATTTGTTTGTATCCTCTTTTATTTCATTGAGCAGTGGTTTGTAGTTCTCCTTGAAGAGGTCCTTCACATCCCTTGTAAGTTGGATTCCTAGGTATTTTATTCTCTTTGAAGCAATTGTGAATGGGATTTCACTCATGATTTGGCTCTCTGTTCTGTTATTGGTGTATAAGAATGCTTGTGATTTTTGCACATTGATTTTGTATCCTGAGACTTTGCTGAAGTTGCTTACCAGCTTAAGGAGATTTTGGGCTGAGACAATGGGGTTTTCTAGATATACAGTCATGTCATCTGCAAACAGGGACAATTTGACTTCCTCTTTTCCTAATTGAATACCCTTTATTTCCTTCTCCTGCCTGATTGCTCTGGCTAGAACTTCCAACACTATGTTGAATAGGAGTGGTGAGAGAGGGCATCCCTGTCTCGTGCCAGTTTTCAAAGGGAATGCTTCCAGTTTTTGCCCATTCAGTATGATATTGGCTGTGGGTTTGTCATAGATAGCTCTTATTATTTTGAGATACGTCCCATCAATACCTAATTTATTGACAATTTTTAGCATGAAGGGTTGTTGAATTTTGCCAGAGGCCTTTTCTGCATCTATTGAGATAACCATGTGGTTTTTGTCTTTGGTTCTGTTTATATGCTGGATTACATTTATTGATTTGTGTATGTTGAACCAGCCTTGCATCCCACGGATGAAGCCCACTTGATCATGGTGGATAGGCTTTTTGATGTGCTGCCAGATTCGGTTTGCCAGTATTTTATTGAGGATTTTTGCATGAATGTTCACCAGGGATGTTGGTCTAAAATTCTCTTTTTTTGTTGTGTCTCTGCCAGGCTTTGGTATCAGGATGATGCTGGCCTCATAAAATGAGTTAGGGAGGATTCCCTCTTTTTCTATTGATTGAAATAGTTTCAGAAGGAATGGTACCAGCTCCTCTTTGTACCTCTGGTAGAATTTGGCTGTGAATCCATCTGGTCCTGGCCTTTTTTTAGTTGGTAAGCTATTAATTATTTGCCTCAATTTCAGAGCCTGTTATTGGTCTATTCAGAGATTCAAATTCTTCCTGGTTTAGTCTTGGGAGGGTGTATGTGTTGAGGAATTTATCCATTTCTTCTAGATTTTCTAGTTTATTTGCATAGAGGTGTTTACAGTATTCTCTGATGGTAGTTTGTATTTCTGTGGGATCAGTGGTGATATCCCCTTTATCATTTTTTATTGTGTCTATTTGATTCTTCTCTCTTTTCTTCTTTATTAGTCTTGCTAGCAGTCTATCTATTTTGTTCATCCTTTCAAAAAACCAGCTCCTGGATTCATGGATTTTTTGAAGGGTTTTTTTGTGTCTCTATTTCCTTCAGTTCTGCTCTGCTCTTAGTTATTTCTTGCCTTCTGCTAGCTTTTGAATGTGTTTGCTCTTGCTTCTCTAGTTCTTTTAATTGTGATGTTAGGGTGTCAATTTTAGATCTTTCCTGCTTCCTCTTGTGGGCATTTATTGCTATAAATTTCCCTCTACACACTGCTTTGAATGTGTCCCAGAGATTCTGGTATGTTGTGTCTTTGTTCTCGTTGGTTTCAAAGAACATCTTTATTTCTGCCTTCATTTCGTTATGTACCCAGTAGTCATTCAGGAGCAGGTTGTTCAGTTTCCATGTAGTTGAGTGGTTTTGAGTGAGTTTCTTAATCCTGAGTTCTAGTTTGATTACACTGTGGTCTGAGAGACAGTTTGTTATAATTTCTGTTCTTTTACATTTGCTGAGGAGTGCTTTACTTCCAACAATGTGGTCAATTTTGGAATAACTGTGGTGTGGTGCTGAAAAGAATGTATATTCTGTTGATTTGGGGTGGAGAGTTCTGTAGATGTCTATTAGGTCTGCTTGGTGCAGAGCTGAGTTCAATTCCTGGATATCCTTGTAAACTTTCTGCCTCATTGATCTGTCTAATGTTGACAGTGGGATGTTAAAGTCTCCCATTATTATTGTGTGGGAGTCTAAGTCTCTTTGTAGGTCTCTAAGGACTTGCTTTATGAATCTGGGTGCTCCTGTATTGGGTGCATATATATTTAGGATAGTTAGCTCTTCTTGTTGAATTGATCCCTTTACCATTATGTAACGGCCTTCTTTGTCTCTTTTGATTTTTGTTGCTTTAAAGTCTGTTTTATCAGAGATTAGGATTGCAACCCCTGCCTTTTTTTGTTTTCCATTTGCTTGGTAGATCTTCCTCCATCCATTTATTTTGAGCCTATGTGTGTCTCTGTACATGAGATGGGTTTCCTGAATACAGCACACTGATGGGTCTTGACTCTTTATCCAATTTGCCAGTCTGTCTTTTAATTGGAGCATTTAGCCCATTTACATTTAATGTTAATATTGTTATATGTGAATTTGATCCCGTCATTATGATGTTAGCTGGTTATTTTGCTCGTTAGTTGATGCAGTTTCTTCCTAGCCTTGACGGTCTTTACAATTTGGCATGTTTTTGCAGTGGCTGGTACCGGTTGTTCCTTTCCATGTTTAGTGCTTCCTTCAGGAGCTCTTTTAGGACAGGCCAGGTGGTGACATAATCTCTCAGCATTTGCTTGTTTGTAAAGTATTTTATTTCTCCTTCACTTATGAAGCTTAGTTTGGCTGGATATGAAATTCCGGGTGGAAAATTCTTTTCTTTAAGAATGTTGAATATTGGCCCCTACTCTCTTCTGGCTTGTAGAGTTTCTGCCAAGAGATCAGCTGTAAGTCTGATGGGCTTCCCTTTGTGGGTAACCCGACCTTTCTCTCTGGTTGCCCTTAACATTTTTTCCTTCGTTTCATCTTTGGTGAATCTGACAGTTATGTGTCTTTGGAGTTGCTCTTCTCGAGGAGTATCTTTGTGGCATTCTCTGTGTTTCCTGAATCTGAATGTTGGCCTGCCTTGCTAGATTGGGGAAATTCTCCTGGATAATATCCTGCAGAGTGTTTTCCAGCTTGGTTCCATTCTCCCCGTCACTTTCAGGTACACCAATGAGACGTAGATTTGGTCTTTTCACATAGTCCCATATTTCTTGGAGGCTTTGTCATTTCTTGTTATTCTTTTTTCTCTAAACTTCTCTTCTTGCTTCATTTCATTGATTTCATCTTCCATCACTGATACCCTTTCTTCCAGTTGATTGAGTCAGCTACTGAGGCTTGTGCGTTCATCACGTAGTTCTCGTGCCATGGTTTTCAGCTCCATCAGGTCCTTTAAGCACTTCTCTGCATTGGTTATTCTAGTTAGCCATTCGTCTAATCTTTTTTCAAGGTTTTTATCTTCTTTGCCATGGGTTCAAACTTCCTCCTTTAGCTCGGAGTAGTTTGATAGTCTGAAGCCTTCTTCTCTCAATTCATCAAAGTCATTCTCCATCCAGCTTTGTTCCGTTGCTGGTGAGGAGCTGCATTCCTTTGGAGGAGGAGAGGTGCTCTGATTTTAGAATTTTCAGTTTTTCTGCTTTGTTTTTTCCCCATCTTTATCGTTTATCTACCTTTGGTCTTTGATGATGGTGACATACAGATATTATTTTGGTGTGCATGTCCTTTCTGTTTGTTAGTTTTCCTTCTAACAGTCAGGACCCTTAGCTGCAGGTCTGTTGGAGTTTGCCGGAGATCCAACGCAGACCCTGTTTGCCTGGGTATCAGCAGTGGAGGCTGCAGAACAGCAGATATTGGTGAACAGCAGATGTTGCTGCCTGATCGTTCCTCTGGAAGTTTTGTCTCAGAGGAGTACCCGGCCATGTGAGGTGTCAGTCTGCCCCTGCTGTGGGGGTGCCTCCCAGTTAGGCTACTCAGGGGTCAGGGACCCACTTGAGGTGGCAGTCTGTCCATTCTCAGATCTCAAGCTGCTTGCTGGGAGAACCTCTACTCTCTTCAAAGCTGTCAGACAGGGACATTTAAGTCTGCATCGGTTTCTGCTGCCTTTTGTTTGGCTATGCCATGCCCCCAGAGGTGAAGTCTACAGAGGCAGGCGGGCCTCCTTGAGCTGCGGTGGGCTCCACTCAGTTCGAGCTTCCTGGCCACTTTGTTTACCTACTCAAGCCATGGCAATGGCGGGCACCCCTCCCTCAGCCTCACTGCCAGCTTGCAGTTTGATCTCAGACTGCTGTGCTAGCAATGAGCAAGGCTCCATGGGCATAGGACCCTCTGAGTCAGGCGCAGGATACAATCTCCTGGTGTGCCGTTTGCTAAGACCATTGGAAAAGTGCAGTATTAGGGTGGGAGTGACCGATTTTCCAGGTGCTGTCTGTCATCCCTTTCATTGGCTAGGAAAGGGAATTCCCTGACCCCTTGCACTTCCTGGGTGAGGCGATGCCTCACCCTGCTTCGGCTCAGGCTTGGTGCGCTGCACCCACTGTCCTGCACCCACTGTCTGACAATCCTCAGTGAGATGAATCTGGTACCTTAGTTGGAAGTGCAGAAATCATTCATCTTCTGCGTTGCTCACCCTGGGAACTGTAGACTGGAGCTGTTCCTATTCGGCCATCTTGGCTTCTATCGAGACTGCTTCTTTAAGTGAGATCCTGATCCATTTCTTCTCACTGGGTGAGACCTCCCAGCTGGGGGCCTCCAGTCATCCCTACACATTCTCAAGAGACAGAGCTCTGATCTCTCTCTGGGATGAAGCCTCTGCAGGGAGGGGCAGGCTGCCATCTCAGTGGTTTGGTTAGCTCAGCTGTTCCAGCCTGTGGGCTTTGGAGAGTCCAAACTGGACGAGGAAGGGTCCTCCCAGTGTAGCATGGGTGCTTTGCCAGATCATGGCCAGACTACTTCTTTAAGGGGTCCCCAATCCATTTCTGCTCTCTGGGCAGGACCTCCCAGCCAAGCCTTCCAGCCACCCTCACCTGCATGTATCTGCTCTGTCCCTGGGATGGAGTGCCCAGGAGAGCAGATGGGTGCCACCTTGGTTGGTGGGATGACTCAGCTCTTCCAGCCTGCAGGCTTTGGAGAGTTCAAGCTGACATGGGCAGATGCAGTTCCTCAGCACTACATGACTGTTTTTTCAAGGCATGGCCATACTGCTTCTTTAAGTGGGAATCCATTCCCCTCTTCCTTGTGTGGAGGGTCTTCCAGCTGGGAACTCCAGCCATCCCCACCTGTGTTCTATGGCTGACAGAACTCTAATTTCTCCCCAGGATGGAGTGCTTGGGGGGTGGGGCAGGCTATGACATTAGCACAGCTGCTATACCAAAAAGCAGCCAGACTTCTTCTTTAAGTGAATCCCTGGTCCTGTTTCTCCTGACTGGGTGAGACCTTCCAACCAGGTTCTCCAGCCACCTTCTATAGGTGCATACAGGCTGGCAACAGGTCAGTACCCCATTGGGATGGAGCTTCCAGAGGACGAGGCAGTCTGTCATCTTTGCTGTTTCACAGCCTTCCCTGGTGATAACTCTCAGGTACCAAAAAAAAAACTGGTGACTAGGGACTGGAGTAGATGCCCAGCAAACCACAGCAGCTCTATAGATGAGTGAACAGACTGTTAAAAGAAAAAGAAACAGAAAACAAACCAAAAAAACCCATCCAAAAGTCAGCAACCTGAAAGAACAAAGGTAGATAAGCTCACAAAGATAGAAAGCAAAAACACTGAAAACTCAAAAAGCCAAAGAGCCCCTTTTCCTCAAAATGACCACAATACCTCTCCAGCAAGGGCTCAGAACTGGGCTGAGGCTGAGATGGTTGAAGTGACAGAAGTAGGCTTCAGAATGTGGATAAGAATGAACTTCACTGAGCTAAAGGAGCATGTTGTAAACCAATGCGAAGAAACTAAGAATTATGATAAAACAATATAAGAGCTGACAGCCAAAATACCCAGTTTAGAGAGGAACATAACTGACCTGATTTAGATGAAAAAATACTACAAGAACTTCACAATGCAATCATAAGTACTAATAGCAAGAGTAGACCAAGTGGAGAAATAATCACAGAGCCTTGAAGACTTTCTGAAATAAGACAGGCAGACAGAATTGAGAAAAGGGAAAATGAATGAGCAAAAACTGAGAAATACAGGATTATGTAAAGAGACCAAATCTATGATTGACTATAGTACCTGAAAGAGGGAGAATGGAACCAATTTGGAAAACATACTTCTGGATATTATCCAGGAGAACTTCTCCAACCTAGAAAGACAGGCTAACATTCAAATTCAGGAAATGCAGAGAACCCCAGTAAGATATACTCCATGAGAAGATCATCCTTAAGACAGATAATCAACAGATTCTCCAAGGTTTAAATGAAAATAAAAACGTTAAGGGGAACCAGAGAGAAAGGCCAGGTCACCTACAAAGGGAAGCCCATCAGATTAACAGTGGAGCTCTCAGCAGAAACCCTAGAAGCCAGAAGAGATTGGGGGCCAATATTCATTCTTAAGGAAAAGAATTTCCAACCCAGAATTTCACATCTGGCCAAACTAAGCTTCATAAGTGAAGAAGAGATAATATCCTATTCAGACAAGCAAATGCTGAGGGAATTTGTTACCACCAGACTGGCCTTACAAGTGATCCTGAAGGAAGCACTAAATATGGAAAGGAAAAACCATTACCATCCACTACAAAAACACACAGACCAGCAACACTATTAAGCAACCACATAAACAAGCCTGCAAAATAACAAGTCAGCATCACGATAACAGGACCAAACTCACACACAACAATATGAACCTTAAATGTAAACTGGCTAAATGTCCCAATTAAAACACACAGAATGGAAAGCTAGATAAAGAACCAAGACCAATTGGTATACTGTCTTCAAGAGACCCATCTCACATGCCAAAACACATATAAGCTCAAAATAAAGGGATGTAGGAACATTTACCAAGCAAATGAAAAACAGAAAAAAGCAGGGATTACAATCCTAGTTTCTGACAAAACAGACTTTAAGCCAACACAAATTTGAAAAGACAAAGAAGGGCATTACACAGTGGTAAAGGGTTCAATTCAATAAGAAGAGCTAACTATCCTAAATATATGTGCACTCAACACAGAAGCACCCAGATTCATAAAGCAAGTTCTTAGACCTTCAGAGAGACTTAGACTCTCACACAATAATAATGGGAGGTTTTTAACATCCCATTGACAATATTAGACAGATCTTTGAGACAAAAAATTAACAAAGCTACTCAGGACCTGAACTCAGCTCTGGATCAAGTGGACCTGATATATATCTACAGAACTCTCCAACCAAAAACAACTGAATATACATTCTTCTCATTGCCACATGACACTTACTCTAAAATTCATCACATAATTGGAAGTAAAATATTCCTCAGCAAATGCAAAAGAACTGAATTAATAACTGTCTCTCGGACCACAGCACAAATTAGAACTCAAGATTAAACAATTCATTCAAAACAATACAACTGCATGGAAATTGAACAAACTGCTCCTGAATGACTTTTGGGTAAATAAAAAAATTAAGGCAGAAATAAAAAATTCTTTGAAACTAAGGAGAACTTTACCAGAATCTCTGGGATGCAGCTAAAGCAGTATTAAGTGGGAAATTTACAGCACTAAATACCCACATCAAAAAGCTAGAAAGATCTCAAGTTTACAACCTAATATCACAACCAAAAGAACTAGAGAAGCAAAAGCAAACAAACCTCAGAGCTAACAGAAGACAAGAAATAACCAAGATTAGAGCTGAACTGAAGAAGATAGAGACAAAAAAAACCCTTCAAAAAGTTAATGAATCCAGAAGCTGGTTTTTTGAAAAAATAAATAAATAAAATAGACCACTAGCTAGACTAATGAAAAAGAAAAGAGATAAGATTCAAGTATACACAATCGGAGATGATAAGGGGGATACACCACTGAGCCCACAGAAATACAAACAACCATAAGAGAATACTATAAACACCTCTATGGACATAAACTAGAAAACCTAAAAGAAATGGATAAATTCCTGGACACATACAACCTCCCAAGATTGAACCAGGGAGAAACTGAATCCATGAATAGACCAACAATGAGTTCCAAAATTGAGGCAGTAATAAATAGCTTACCAACAACAACAACAAAAATCCCAGGACCAGATGGATTCACAGCTGAATTCTACAAGAGATACAAAGAAGAGATGGTACCATTGGTACTAAAACTATTCCAAAAAATTGAGGAAGAGGGACTCCTCCCTAACTCATTCTATGAGGCCAGCATCATCCTGATACAAAAACCTGGCAGAGATACAGCAAAAAAGGAAAACTTCAGGCCAATATCCTTGATGAACATTGATGCAAATATTCTCAACAAAATAGTGAAGCTGGAAACCACCATTTTCAGCAAACTAACACAGGAACAGAAAACCAGACACTGCATGTTCTCACTCTTAAGTGGGAGTTGAACAATGAGAACACATGGACACAGTGAGGGGGAACATCACACACCGGGGCCTGTCAGAGGGTGGGGGGTGGGGTTAGGGGAGGGATAGCATTAGGAGAAATACCTAATGTAGATGATGGGTTGATGAGTGCAGCAAACTGTCACGGCATATGCATACCTATGTAACAAACCTGCACATTCTGCAAATGTATCCCAGAACTTAAAGTATAATAACAAAAAAAAAAAATAGTGGCAAACTGAATCCAGCAGCACATCAAAAGGGTTATCCAACATGATCAAGTAGGCCTCATCCCTACGATGCAAGGTTGGTTAAACATATGCAAATCAATAAATATGATTAATCACATAAACAGAACTAAAGACAAAAGCCACATGATTATCTCAATAAATGCAGAAAAGGTCTTTGATAAAATTCAATATTCTTTCATGTTAAAAACTCTCAATAAGCTAGGTATTGAAGGAACATACATCAAAATTATAAGAGCAAACCCACAGCCAACAATATACTGAATGGGCAAAAGCTGGAAACATTCCTCTTCAAAACCAGCACAAGACAAGGATGCCCTCTCTTACCACTCTTATTCAACATATTATTGGAAGTTCTGGCCAGAGGAATCAGACAAGAAAAAGAAAACAAGGCATTCAGTCTGGGCGCGGTGGCTCACGCCTGTAATCCCAGCACTTTGGGAGGCTGAGGTGGGTGGATCACCTGAGGTCAGGAGTTCAAGACCAGCCTGACCAACATGGTGAAACCCCATCTCTGCTAAAAATACCAAAATTAGCTGGGCATGGTGGTGCACACCTGTAATCCCAGCTACTCAGGAGGTTGAGGCAGGAGAATCGCTTGAACCCAGGAGGTGGAGGTTGCAGTGAGCTGAGACTGTGCTACTGCAGTCCAGCCTGGGCAACAGAGCAAGACTCCATCTCAAAAAAAAAAAAAAAAAAAAAAAAAGAAAGAAAGAAACAAAACAACGTATTCAAATAGGAAGAGAAGAAGTCAAACTATCTTTGTTTGCAGATGACATGATCCTGTATTTAGAAAACCTCATTGTCTCAGCCCAAAAGCTTCTTAAGCTGATAAGTAACTTTAGCAAAGTCTCAGACATATTTCACAGAATTGGATAAAACTATTCTAAAATTCATATGGAACCATAAAAGAGCCCAAATAGCCAAAGTATTCCTAAGTGAAAAGCACAAAGCTGGAGGCATCACGCTACCTGACCTCAAACTATACTACAGGGCTACAGTAACCAAAACAGCGTGGTACTGGTACAGGAACAGACACATAGACCAATGGAGCAGAATAGAGAACTCAGAAATGAGATCACACATGTGCAACCATTTGATCTTCAACAAACCTGACAAAAACAAGCAATGGGAAAAGGATTCCCTGTTTAATAAATGATGCTGAAAGAACTGACTACACATTTGCAGAAAATTGAAACTGGGCCACTTCCTTACACCTTACACAAAAATCAACTCAAGGTGCGCTAAAGATTTAAATGTAAAATGCAAAACTATAAAAATCCTAGAAGAAAACTTAGGCAATGCCACTCAAAGGGTAGATGTGGCAAAGATTTTATGACAAAAATGCCAAAAGTAATTGCAACAAAAGCAAAAATTGAAAAGTGGGATTCAATTAAACAAAAGAGCTTCTGTACTGCAAAACAAACTATCATCAGAGTAAACAGACAACCTAGAGAATGGAAGAAAATCTTTGTAATCTATCCATCTGACAAAGGTCTATTATTCAGCATTTATAAGCAGCTTAAATTCACATAGAAAAACCAACCCCTTTAAAAAGTGGGCAAAGGACATGAACAGACATTTCTCAAAAGAAGACATACATACGGCCAATAATTACATGAAAAAAAGCTCAACATCACTGATCATTAGAAAAATGTAAATGAAAAACCCAATGAGATACCATCTCATAGCAGTTAGAATGGCTATTATTAAAAAGTCAAAAAACCATAGATGCTGGCCAGGTTGTGGAGAAAAAGGAATGTTTTTATACTGGTGGTGGGAGTGTAAATTAGTTCAACCATTGTGGAAGACAGTGTGGCGATTGCTCTGAGACCTATGGGCAGAAATACTATTCTACCCAGCAATCCCATTACTGGATAGATAATCAAAGGAATATAAATTCTTCTATTACAAAGATCCATGCATGTGTATGTTCATTGCAACACTATTCACAATAGCAAAGACATGGAATCAACCTAAATGCTCATCACTGATAGACTGGACAAAGAAAATGTGGTGGATATACACCATGGAATACAGTGCAGCCATAAAAAGAAACGAGATCATGTCCTTTGCAGGGACATGGATGGAGCTGGAGGTCATTATCCTCAGAAAACTAACACGGGAACAGAAAACCAAACACCACGTGTTCTCACTGATAAGTGGGAGCTAAATGATGAGAACACATGGACACATGGAGGGGAACAACACACACTGGGGCCTGTCAGAGAGTGGGTGGGTGACAGAAGGAAGAGCATTGGAAGAATAGCTAATAAATGCTGGACTTAATACCTAGGTGATGGGATGATCCGCACAGCAAACCACCATGGCACAAGTTTACCTATGTAACAAACCTGCACATCCTGCACATGTACCCCTGAACTTAAAAGCTGGAAATAAACAAAAACTAGATTGAATGCAGAAGTAGATATGAGAATCCAGCCACTATCTATTAAGCTAGACTCTAAAGACAGTTATGATATATAAAACAATGCTGCTCTTCTCAGATATTTTTTGTTTGGAAAAATATAGTTATTTTTCCTAAAATGTGCTATTTATGTTAATCAAATAGGTTTATTATTATTGTAAAACATTGATATTTTAAAATTTTCCAAGTTTTAATTTTTAACACTCTATATATCATTAATAAAAAACAAAAATGGAGACCACAGTGTAGCTATACCCCAAAGCCAAACACCTGTAACCACACAGCCAAAACTTACATCATCCTGATTTCCCAGAAATACTAGCTCTAAGCATAAACAAAACACAAAATCATAAACACAAGCTTTATGTCCTTTTCAGCATGGGTCAGTGAAATTAAACCATCAGCTATAGACAATCAGCTTGAAGAGTTCTGGTTGCCTTAACAAAATGATAAAAATAGCCAGCCACAGAAAAGGTCAAATACTTCCTCCTTTATGTTTTATAAACTATGTTATAATTGCTGTGAGTGGAGCTTCTTATCACCTTGGGTTGAATTCTCCTGGTTCATGAATTGTTATTTTGTATGCACAATAAACGTTTAAAATTTTTCTTAAAAAAAGTGAAATATTTATCTAATATGTAAATTCACCTGAAGATCAATTTGGGCAGAGTGTACTATCTATCTCTCTAATCTTGAGGCCTATTCATAGCTTCCTTAAATAAATGTTTACCTCGCTACTCAACCTGAGTACAATGACCCCACATAGAGGCCCATGTTGTAGGGAGGGGATGAGGATATAAAAGGGAGTACTGTGAGTATTTTTGCAGTCACATGTATAAGACCCACAGCCTTCTGCAGATCCCACTTGTTTATCCTCTTATCTGTCTCAGGTCATACACATGGGAAAAAGTGAATATTCAGGATGTGGGAGATATGGAGACAACTACTAAATAAAACCAATGGGTAGTATTAATTAATTGGCTCATTCCTAAAAAATAGTTATCAAATAGTATTATATTGCTCTGCTAGAAGCCATTGTGGTTGTGGCTCTAAGATGAGTATAATGTATGGTCTCTAATCCAAAGAGTTAGTCCAATTTTGTCTAGAGACAAAGTTAATATACATGAAAATTTAAATATTACACAAGCAATAATGCAAAAGATATCATAAACCAGTTATGTTGGTGACTTTTTTCATTAGGTGTTGGAAGATTTGATGAGTTTATGGATGTTTAGACTACTTTGGGGGGCCCTATTCAGAAGGCAGTAACATTTTTTAACATAACAGTATTCAAAAGTAATAACTGGCTAAAAATAACTCCTAGGAAAAAATAGCACAGGAAGCAGGATAAGCCAGGGTTACTCTGTGCTCTTGCTAAGGCTGAGTGAAAGGGGCTCAAAGTTACATCACTGCCAAGGTATTGCCCACAGTCACCCAGGAAGACCCACCAGCATGGGGGTATCTTCTTTTTTGATAATGTATAGCCATAGCAAAGAGCAGTATTTGCTTTTTGTCTTGAATTTTAGGGGTTGTTGATGAAATCGAATTGGACAAGAAAATAATGTGGTTCTCCCATTAGTGTGTGTTTGTTGAGGATCAGAAGTAGGATGGAGAAGCTCCAGGGTGAATTTCCTGCCTCACACTGAATGTCTCCAAACCTTGAAAAACAGATTCTACGTGGTGCATTAAAAAATATTTACTGATTTTTAAATGTATCACAATTTATGTTTTAATTTAGCCTCAGATAGTGTCATTTTCTCATGTAAAACTTTTTTTCTTTGGTGTGTAACAGTTTCTGTAGGAAGCAGTGGTGATATTGCACTTAGTCCCAAATCATTTCAGAAGAGCTAGAGCCAGGAAAATACATTATCTCTCTGTGTTGAAATCACAGGATGAATCATGGTATTCTTCATTTTCCTTTTGTGCTAGTAGATTTCTCCCCCTGCAAAGTCGGCCGCCCAATAGGCCTCTTTTTTAAAGCTGAAGCCTCTCTCTGGAGTCCCTGAGTTGCTCTCCAAACCTAGGCACTCTAAGGATATTGTGTCCAGTGCACAAGAGAACATAGAAACCTGTTAGCATTGGACATGTACACGTGACTGAATATATGTTTAAAATTTAAAATTTATAGAGTGTGGAATGCCATGTCCATAGGAACATGTATCTCAGGCAGTATTTGTGACCCAGAAATAATATGAAGTTTTTTAACTTAAAAAAATTGTTCATTTACATAGTTTAACTGATAAAAGTGTGAGGACTTACATTTTTCTGAACAATTACTATGGACATGAAGGTCTTACTGAATTGGTGGGAGACTGGTAGGTAGAGGTTATAGATCAGAATCACTTTCGGAGTTCTAAAATTCACACATGCTCCCACTTCTTGCTGAGACTTATGTGTGCACCTGTGGGCAATCCTTGAAACAACACAATTTCTCTACCCTTTGGGGATTGCTGATTCAGATGAGTTCATTACTGGTTATGCAGTTATACCAGTTTAAATAATGCTCCAAAATGATTTGAGAAACATCTTTAGGTATATTCCATAAGGCTTTATTGTTTTCTCTATGCTTCTCAAAATTTTTATCAACAGTTTAGAAGAAGATATAGAAATCAGATATTTGGAATCAAATATGCAGTGATACAAAGCTATGAAAGGAATCTTAATAGGATTCATGAAAGTATTGGAATCCAAAGGGCTCTATGTAGGCTGAAACACTTGACTGAAATAAAGTCAAATTTAGTGGGAATAATTTAAACATTCAATTAATGTTGAATTTATTTAACATTAATAAATGTTCATTTATTTAACTCACAAATAGAAAAAAATGTGTATGAGGAAGAGACTGCAGCTTTCTAGAAGACCGAAATTAACCGAGACAAGGTAAGAAAATATGATCTTTTGTTTCAATTAGCCTGACTTGAAATGTTCAAGGTAAGCCATTGCTAAAATCTTCTCTAAAATAACACATTCTAATAGATGATTTTAATATGTGGCTGATTAGACTAAGATATCTTCTACCTTTGATCTCAGATTAAAAGAAAATAATGCTAAAAGTAATTATAAGCTAGTTCAATGGTATATAATATACCATAAGTTGCAGAATGATGCAACAGAGAGCATCTCTGAGTGACTACTGTGTTTCTGGACTTCTTGTTAGATATACTTTTGCAATGGAGCTGACTTTTATGCCTTAATATTCTATCCCATGATCATCCAGTTCTCATTTATCTGATTTAACAAGAAACCTAAGGGAAGAAAATGAACTAGCAGGCCCATGAAAGCCTTCCAGGCAGTTCTGCCAATTTATTTTTGGCATTGGTATGATTGTCTAAATTCACATTCTAGCCTAACAACCATTCACTCACACCACAAATATCTACCAAATACCAGCTAATAAGCCATGCACTTTCTAGGTCTTAGGGATAGTACCAAAGGTGCGGGGCAGTATCCTTCCTTCAAGAAGCTCAAACTTTGCAAAAAGACAAATATAAACAAATACAAACAACATGACATGGTATTAAAAAAAAAAACCCTGGATGTACAGAAAGAAGGAAAGAATTGAATTCACTTGAGAAGTGGTGAAAGATTCCAGAGGAAGTGGAATTTGATTGGGTTTTGAAGGATGGGTTAGTGCTTTCAAAGAGAGAAGAAAAAGGGGGAGACATAGAGGAGGAAGCAGATCATGTGGGGGGTGGGAAAGAGTTCTGTGTGTTCAGAGTGGCTTTGCAAGGTGCACAGATTTGACTAGAAGTGTCAGGTGGGAATGATATGTGGGCCATGTAAAGGAGTGTGCAGATCATCCTGATGGCAAACTAGCATGAGTTTTTAATTTAGGGAAAAATATAATCAGATTAGCATTTTCAAAAGATAAATTTGGAGAGTATATGGGAAGGGGGTTTACAGTTAGGAGATAGTTGCCTGAGGGAACCCAGTTATGAGAAGCAGCTGAATCTAGACAATAAGAATGTGGGAACAAAAGAGGATTAAGAAGTTAGGTTTTATGAATCAGCTTCCCAGACTTCAATCAGGTATACATTAATTTGGAAAGCTGTGGATCAAAATTGTTATCTCTGGCAGTTCCCTGAATGTGTATATACCACCTGAGGTCCTATTTAGAGCATTCTCCACTGCACAGGCCAACAAGAAACATGTCAACACAATCTTATCAGTGGAATCTTAGTTCATTTTCAGGTAAACTCGGCCATTATTTTTGTGAAATATGTTTGTTCTTCATTTTTCTGTTTATTTTACTCTTGTGAAGCATGTTTGCTACTGTACAGCTTTTTGAGCTTCAAGCTACTATTAGAACTCTGTCTAAGAACAAGGCTTGTACTATCAGATGATATTTGAAAATGGTGGGCTCCAAACACACAGGGGATTTTTAGCATGAGGGACCTAATCTATATGGCACTGCCGTGGTGGATACATTAATCTATGCATTTGTCAAAACCTATAGAAGTGTATACCTTAAAGAGGGAACTTTATAGAATTAAAAAAAAATCAACCAATACTTTGTAAGAACCCGGTCTGTGACAAATGAATTTAACTATATTTTTAATATATGACATAATTTCACAGCAAGGGCAGAGGAACAAAGGGGCCAACCTAAAAATCTTTGGAAAATAGTGTTTGGACTAAATACTATATAGCTAAAGACAGAAAAAGAATTCCTTACAAACACAGTACTCTAGTTGGTATATTTGTTTTTTACAGTAGTATGTGTTGGAAATTTGGAAACTACTTAATTTGTATACGGAATAAACAAACAAACAAATGTATTGTAGATAATGAGAGCCAGGTTTCTCACTGCCAGAGAAAGAAGTTACAATAAGCTGGAGAGGTGCAGGGGAGGGCTAGAATGAACCCTCTGGTGCTGCATTAGAGTTGGAGATGTCGGAATGAACTCATTTATTTTAACAGATACACAGTTATATAAATATATGCATATTAACGTGTAACTATATAAGCATAGATATGTGTGTATATATGGGTTGGTATACATGCATAAATTTCCTAGGTCTCTCTATTAAGAGGGCCTTAAAAAGTGACACACTCTAGTAACAACAAAAACACCAAAAGCTTAGATTATAGTTTCTATATGTCGTTCTCCAATAAAAGAAGCCAAGACCCCCTAGAAAAATGGCTGACTTTAATCTGGGACAGGGAAAATATAAGATGATCCTGGAGCATCTTATAGTGCCAGAAAGTAAAGCAGTGCTGAAAGAAAAGGAAAAAGGAAAAGTAAGGGTACATCAAGAGGACACAGGAGCCATTATGAAATGGCTGGAATGGCCAAAGCTGGAAAAACTTGAGCAATGTAATATATAAAAATGACACAGAATTATAACCCAGAAGATAAAATAAACCTCACAGAGTCCTTATTTATATAAATTTGTGATTGAATATATAAATAAATAATGAATAAGTGGGGAAGAAGGAACAGATTTTTCCTTACAGAAGAATTCTACTTAGTAAATGTAGAGGGGAATAGAAAATCACCATTAGAACACCATTGGAATAATTGCAGCAGGCAAAATCCACAGCTGAAGCTAATGTTAGAAAGCACAGTTTTAAGGAGAAACAGGATATTTGCACAGCCTTAAAGTACCTCCTACGAAGTTTTAATAATGTCCACAAATTCTTTGATACTGCTTTCTCCAAGAGGTGGAGTTAATTTTCCTTCCCTTGAGAGCATATTGGATTGAGTGACTTTCCTTTAATAAATAGAATATGGAAAAAGAAAGATAGTAGCTATAGAATGGAGAAAACTGGGCACCCACCACCTTAATCAAGTGATTAAAGTTAATATCACCTGTAATGAGTCATGTCCATATCACGTACTTCCTGAAATGATATAACGAGAAGAGCACTATGGTCTTCTTCCCTCAATCCACAACCTCAGTTTAATCATGGGGAAACATCAAACACAGAGTGAGGGATAGTCTACAAAATACCTGGTCAGAACTCCTCAAAATTGTGTGAAAGACAAGGAAAGACCAAGAAACTCTATTTGGTGAGAAGAGACTAAGAAGATGTGGCACCTAAACGTAGTGGGCGGTTCTGAATTGCATCCTGGGATAGACAAGGGACATTAGGGGGGAAAGGTGGCAAAATCAGAATAGAGTCTGAAGTTTAGTTTATAGTACTGTATTAACATTGATTTCTTAGCTTTGATAAATACATCATGGCTATGTAATGTAGAAGTTGAGTGAATTATATATGAGAACTACTGTTGCAATTCTGCAAACGTAAAATTAATTCAAAATAAAATTTAGTAAAAAATCATTGTCTTTAAACCTCTTTCAGTTTCACTGTAAAATAATATTAGTTTACAAGGAGCTGGAAATTTCAAGGACAAGGCAAAGGTAACATGGAGTTACAATAAATCAAGAGAATCAAGAGGCTTATCTAGAAATCCTGCCAGGAGTGATTCGAACATAACCCAATTGTGAGCCTTCGACATTAAACTTCAGAGAAATTACGTTTTAAACCTAAAACTATCTGAAAGAAAAATTAAATTGAATATTTCAACAAGACACATGAATATGTCTAATTCCTTAAGTATAAACTTTTAAAAAAGTTTTATCAACTTTAGACATTTATGTTTTGCTCACAAGGCAAAGAAAACCCTACTGAAAAAATAAAAAGTATTTTGGATATTTTTCATAAAGCTATATTACCTAACTAACGTTCTACAGTTAACAAAATGTTTCTAAAATTCTCTGAAATTATCTGGACTGAATGAATGGGTAAAAGCTATATGTTGATAATAGGTATGAAAATAAATTCGAAAACTTGCTTATGTTTAACACCCAAATGTAAAAAACTGCTACTTCCTTATACACTTGGTATGCTATTTTTAAAGTCCCCAGAAATAGGCTGAACATGATCTCAGATATGCTTTTCTTAAAATGCAGAAGGACAAATTAGCAGGAAGGGGTCAATTTAGATCCCATGTCACTCCCATAAACCACTAAGATTCTCAGAACGCAGGAAATCCTTATTTCATCCTGTTTTGGACACGTGAGATATGAGGACTTCCCAACCATAGGGTACATATAGAATCTTGCAGATTTAGGTGAGCCACAGAGGTTCATATCTGACAGAAGCAGAAGATTTCACATAGCATGGTTGCAAATTCAGCCCATATGTTCACCATAAAACACCTAAAGGATACTTAAGAACATTACTGCTTATAATATGTGTTCAACAATAACCTGGAAATTACTATGTATGCCAAAGTGATTCGATAACATGAGATTATTATCCATAATCCAAAAACTGAAAAGTTTAACCAGTGATTTAGTCAAACAAAATACAATTATATTTTTCTCTGGAGACAATCATTAGATAAAAGGGCCAACTATTTGCTAAGACCACACACAGACTGAGACCATAAAAGCATTATCTGCACACAAGAGGTTAATTGTTTGTTCTCAATATCAAGTTGCTAGAGGGGTGAGGGTGAGGCTCATACATTCAGTTCAGCCACAGAGATGTCAGATTTTAATGAACAATGTTTTTTTAAGGAGGGCCAGCATACAAACATACTTTATTCCCCTGAAAATTATTACTTGATTAATCCAGAGGCCATTTCCACTGATCCTGGGCTTTGGGACCTTATGGCTGTTCTGTAGGATTTACTGCATGCATGTGACTATTAAGGGATGAAGAGGAGGAGGGGCCAAACAGCTTTGGCCGAGTTCTGAGGAAATTCAAAGAAACAGAAAATAATTTGATATTGCTCCTCACAAGTTTCCTGACAAGGCGTTAAAAGGGTATCAATAATATCTTGTAGAGAAGAGAAAAATGTGTCAATGAGTGAGGATGGATGGTTAACAAGGCAGAAAGAAATGGAACCAGTTTGCTGCAAGAGTGGCAAGAGGAATAAACCCTACAATTCCCAGGGCACAGCAGAAGAGAGGAAATTGATTTAACTTGATTTAGTCCACTCCAAATTCAGCTGCGGCCAAAAACCATGATGGTGGAGAGATCCTATGGTCCACAAGACAGGGTGGCAGTGGGGACTTGGCCACACCCTGGCACTGAGAGGTGGGCCTCTAGCTGGGACGTCAGCAGTTCTGTGAGGCATCAGAGTGAAGGTGTGGTGCAAGGGTGGGAGGGACAGGCCTCTAGGAAGGGTCTACTTGTGTGCCCAGCCATGCATTCCTGGGAGTCACTCTACAGAGGATACTCAGCTGTCACAGAAACATGGCAGAACTGGAAAGGTGAAAAATGATGGAGAGAAACTGCATGTCTTTGAAGTCCTTGGGGAGCACACTCCTTATGGCTGAAAGGGGTATTTCATAAAATGCTCAAGAGCGAGACCCCCAAGGGCATGCTCAAGTCACAACAGATGTTTGCTGAAGTGACTTCTAAGTCTTGTGGACTGAAAAAACTGTAAAGTTTATTGCTAAATGAAGTATCCATGTAAGGGACTGGAGCTGAATTGAGGAAAGCATTTCTTTAAAAAAATGTTTGTGTCCACATTCTAGAGAATACAGCATGAAAAGGGAAAAAGGGGTAACTTTGCAGTGGAGGCACCTGACAAATATTGCTTCAACCAGGTCATGAAGGTCAACATCAACAGTGGAAAGTCACATTGATAGCATGTACCCCTGACGTGATATAATAAAAATAGCACAATACCTCTGTGGTTTTCCTTCCAAAACCCATAACCCCAGTTTAATCATGAGAAAAACATCAGATAAGTCCCAATAGATGGCCATTCTACAAAATAACTGACCAATAATCCTCAAAACTGTTAAGGTCACCAAAAAGAAGTAAAGTCTGAGAAACTGTCACAGCCTAAGGGGACCTGATGACTTAATGTAATGTGGTATCCTGGATAAAATCCTACAACAGAAAAAGAGGTAGAAACTAAGAAAATAGGAATAAAGTATGAAATTTAGCTAATAACAGTAATATATCAATATTGGTTTATTAATTGTAACAAATGTACCATGCTAATGTTAAATGTGAATAGGAGAAACTCAGTGAAGAGTATATGGAAGCTCTCTGTCCTATCTTTGAATTTTTTCTCTACATCTAAAAGTGGTCTGAAAATTGAAGTCTATTAAAATGTGTATGTCTGTATATCACTCACAAATATAAATATTAAACAAACATTAAAGGAGATCTAAGTCATTAACTTACCTCTCACTTATTTATGCAATTACAAGGACTGGTAAATCCTCTTTCTAAATGTCCTTTGACAATTCCTTTTTCCCTTGTCCCTTCTCTCTGTACCCTCACGCAGGCCCTTAATATTTTCCCTGAACTTCTGCCATCTCCTTTTGATCACTGTCTGTGACTGCAGTCTCTGCTCCTTTCTGACCCGATGTGCAACAGTCATTTCATAATTCATTTTTTTTCTAGTGTTAATTTCTTCTTTAAAGGTTTCCCAGAGACCCCACCATCGCCCTCGGTAAAAAAGAAATTCCCCTGGTCATTTAATGCCTTCAAGGTCTGCCCAGACATTCTTCTGAGCACATTTCTATCATTTCTTATGTTAACCCATTGATGCTCTTAGTGGTTTTCAGGTTTTAAAATATTTTTAGTAAACAGAGCTTCGTTTTTTTCCAAATAAAAACTTAAGTAGAAATCCAAGTTACAGATCAGATAAAGACACTGCCATAGGATGGCCTGGATCAAGAGATAACCTCCTCCTGCAAGATCTGTTGAACATCATCTGAAAAGCTTGTTTCTGAGTCAGTGGACTTCTCACTGTTTGTAGCGCACTGGGTTCCCCTGCCTTCAACTCGAATGCTTTTTATTCTTGTTTCTGCCAGTGTCACAGTCTACAATGCCCTTCTCCTGCTTCTTTCTCCATTTGGTCCTGTCAAAGTCATTCTCGTTTTTCAAACCTCTCCTGACAGGGCTTCTCTGATTGCCCAGCCAAAAATAGTGTCCCACTCCAGTGGGGTTCTTGGCCCTTGATTGAACTTCTCTTATGACACTTAATGAATGCTGGCTGATCTGTGACAGAATTATTTGATTATACTTATCCTCCTCATTAGTCCATTAGTCTGTAAATCCTTTAAGGACAGGATCTATGGTTTTTCATATCTGTGAATTCTCCACAACAGCTATCATGATGCCTGTACTTAGCAAGCTTTCTGTTAGTGTTATTTGAATAGATGGGTGGATAGAAGGAATGCCCTGAGTTTACTTTGGCTTGAACGGATGTTTCTGCTTTTGATCCTTAGCCTGTTTCCGACTCTTGGTATCTGTTTGCTTCTTTTACATTCTCTTACTTCTTTTTTTTTTTTGACTAATGACTTCCTATCTGACCACTAAATATGCCAACTCCCCGTGTCCTGGGAAGACACAGGGAGAAATGGATCTCAAGAGTTATTAGACTGCATCCCCCTCTCTTCGTGCCATGCTCTTCACCCAAATTTGAGTCCAGTGCCTGGGGCATTACAGGTATTCAATATGTGTTTATTGAAATATTGACTAAAGGAGAATAATTCGAAAAGACAGCATTTTTTTAAAAAACAAAAGTAGACTGTCTTCATAGCCTGTGTTTCTGTTGAGACTAAGCTGCAGCAACTGTATAGCTATCCATAGAGAGAGATGTTAACTACTCTCAAAATGACTTAAGGCATTCCAATTCAAACTTGGGGCTGTCTGCTTGCTTCTAAAACTTAGTACCCATTTCTGTACAAACCTCTTATTTACACTGTGTCATTTAGCCTGGTTTTCCCCTTGAATGCTGTTCTTGATAATGATTCACAAATATTTATTCTTAATGAAAATGTTGGAGAAGAGTACAGAGTGTGATGTTTCCCAGACCCTGCAGACGGCCCTAAACACAAACCTCTACAGATGGCCCTAATCCTCTACAGACGGCCCTAAAAAATCCTCTACAGACGGCCCTAAACACAAACCACAGTGATCAGAGCTTTGCAGACTGCAGCAGGTGACTCAGTACGAGAGTATGCATGCTTAGAGGATTTTGCAATGGTAATGAGTTGAAGATAAAAAAGATTAAGGGAATATTTTTAGTGTGAGTAGCTAAATTTAAAATCACATAAAGGTTATAGCCTGAATTTCCAAACTTGTTCACCTGTTTTTCCCAATACAACGTGAAAGACAAAATGTCCTATCTCACACCACACACACACACACACACACACACACACACACACACACACAAAATAAGAATGGTATTAAAAATGCTCTCCTTTTT
Organism: Homo sapiens; assembly: GCF_000001405.40. Lineage (NCBI taxonomy): Eukaryota > Metazoa > Chordata > Mammalia > Primates > Hominidae > Homo > Homo sapiens. The sequence goes on along the minus strand of NC_000005.10, from coordinate 110,916,284 downwards.
GTTGTTTAAAATGATATAAATATATTCACTGGAAAAGATTCAAATCTAAAAAAAACACTAAACAAAATGAGAGCATTTCCCTCTTATGACTGCTTTCCTTTCCAGGGCAACCACACTTCTGAGTTTGCTGGTTATCCTTTCAGTCCATTTTACATGGATGTCTCTGTTTGCCTATATTACATTATTCTAATATACATTATACATAGATTAGACTACATGTGTATCAGTCACAATTTACTTTCAGCTGTATAAAAAATAAATAACCCAAGGAGCACTTATCTTTATGAAATAATAAGCCGAAGACTGGTAGGAGATCCACAATGCCAAGAGAGACCCAGATTCTTTATATCTTTCCAATTTTACCATTAATTGTTACTTTTACTCATACGTTTGTTACCTTAGGACCCCAAATAGCTGCTATATCACCAGCATTTTTTCACCTTCCACGGAGGAAGAGTGGAAAGGACAAAGAGCAGTGATGACCCCTCACAACCCATCAGTCAGAATACTGCCACTTGGCCCCACCAAGGTGCAAAGGCGTCTAAACCACAATTTTTTTTAAAGCTGAGCACATTGTCTTCCTGAATAAGATCAGAGGTTTCTTTGTAAGAAAAACTGAAGCAATAGTTACTGATAGGCAACTACCATGCCTGCCATAACTAATTTTGCTTTTCCCACTTAATAATATACCCCACATCCCTTCTCATGTTAGTACATTTATCATTATCTTTAATGACTATCTGGTATGCTAGTATATGAATGTGCAACTTTTTGGCTATTTTCCTACTGAGGTATGTATCTATTTTTGCTTTTTTTCTCTTTTTTTTTCTAAGCAGTGCTGATATGAGAAGCCATCAATCTTAACTTTATATTTGTAATTTTGTTATAAATTTATTTTCCTTATAAAAGCTTCTCCTACTTCCTTGTAAAACCTTTTTCCTATTTCCTTATAAAAGCTTCTCCCAATTATATAAACTTCAGATCTCGCCGCACCTGGAACTTACTTCTAAATATTTTATAACCTGCTACTTTTATTTCTTGTCTTCTAAATACCTGATATTTTAGTTGTTGGTATTTCACATTTTCAAAAGAGGATATAATCATCATCATTAATAATAGTTAACACATATAAGTGTTAATAATAGTTACCACATTATAATAGTTAACACATATAAGTGCTAGGCATAGTTCTACATGCCTTATTTTAAAATTAATTTAGTTCTCACAATGACCCTATGGGATAGATACTATTACTGTTCATGTTTCACAAACTGAGAAACTGAACCACAGAATGAATAAGACATAATGCCACAAAATTACTGGCAGAGCCATTTTCTTCAGTTTTTCCTTTTTTAAAATCCCAAGCATATTTTCTTATTTAATGTAATGGTACATTAAAAAATTGTTGAATGTTGAAAAACATATAAACCTACCTCTTATAATTTAAATCTTAATGAGAAATAGCACAGGATGAGAAAGATACATTTTCCTCCGCTTGTTCAATGTTAATAATATAGAAACAAGTTATCCATTTGACATTATTGAGAAATCATATGTTCATATAAATAATTTTTTCAGATAAAGAGTGCTTCATGCTTTACGAACACTGGACTGGATTTTTTTTAAAGGTGGTACGTATACACCATGGGGTACTATGCAGCCATAAAAAAGAATAAAATTATATCCTTTGCAGTAACGTGGATGGAGTTGGGAGCCATTATCTTAAGCAAATTAATGCAGGAACAGAAAATCAAATACCTCACGTTCTCATTTATAAGTGGAAGCTAAACATTGAATACACATAGACACAAAAAGGGGAATAATAGACAATGGGGACTACTTGAACCTATCAGATACTATGCTCACTACCTAGGTGACTAAATAATTTGTATACCAAACCCCAGAGACTCACAATTTACCCATATAATGAACCTGCACATGCACCCTTAGAACCTAAAATAAAAGTTGAAAAAGAAAAAACACAACGCTTACTGATGCCTACGATAGTCACAATTCTTTTGGTTTCCTAGCCACGAAAGAATACAGAGGGGCAGGTGCAGTGGCTCACACCTGGAGCCCCACCACTTTTGGAGGCTGAGATGAACAGATTACCTTAGCTCAGGAGTTCGAGACCAGCATGGGTAACATGGCAAAACCCTGTCCCAACAAAAGATACAAAAAAAAAAAAAAAAAAGCCAGGTGTAGTGGTGCACTCCTGTAGTCCCAGCGACTTGGGAGGCTGAGGTGGGAGGATCACTTGAGCCCAGGAGGCAGAGGTTACAGTGAGCAGAGATGGGATCGCTGCACTCCAGCCTGGGTGTCTGAGTGAAACCCTGTCTCAAAAAAAAAAAAAAAAAAAAAAAAAAAAAGAATAGAGAGGTACTCATCTTGATATCAGAATTAGTAACTTATATCATGACACAAATTAAAATGGCCCCTAAATCACTGTAGTTTGAGAATAGGATTACAAGAAATATTCCTATTCAATGTTCTCTGAAGAAAATAAAGCCTTGAAAAAACTTGAAGATGAACTTTGTAGACTAGAAATATTAAAAAAATTAAGAAAAAGTTAGATATCTTATGAATGTGTAAATAGATGTAGATACTAGTCTATTTTCTCATTTCTATCACAAAATAAAAAAGTTGAAAGTTGTCAAAGCTTATAAACACAGACCATACAAAGTACCATTTGCAGTCAAGAGAAATGCCAAGATAGGTGAAGATGCGGTATTAAAGAATAACTGCATAAAATTAACTATAGTACCTGTTGTATTACTGTGACAATTTTGTAGCTTCCTCCTGTTGCTATTACTGTGAGCTCAAGTGTTGCAAGCATCCTTGTAAAACACTCTAATCATCTCCACAGGAGCAGCTGTCTTTCCAGTAAATTTTGTATTGCAGTAAAAAGTTCTTTCTTGCAGTTCTTATGTATTTTTCATCATGGTTAGTACAACACCACAAAATTTAAATAAAACCATGGGATCCATATGAAGTGCTACTAGTGATGCTGAAAGTGCTCCCAATAAGCAAAGTCATGACATTACAAGGAAAAGTTGAATTGCTTGATATTCACCATAAATTGAGATCTGCAGCTGCAGTTGCCCACTGTTTCAATGAAAATGAATCCAGGGTGATATAGTTTGGATGTTTGTCCTCTCCAAATTCCATGTTGAAACATAAACCCCAATGTTGGAGATGGGGCTTGGCAGGAGGTGTTTGCATTACTGAATGGATCCCTCATGAATGGCTTGTTGCTGTCCTTGTGATAATGAGTGAATCTTTGCTCTAAGTTCACCCAAGATCTGGTTGTTTAAAAGAGTGTGGCACCTCCCCTCCCCTCTTTTGCTCCCACTATGGCCATGTGACATGCTGGTTCCCCCTTCCCTTCTGCCAAGATTGGAAGATTCTTGAGGTCCTCCCCAGGAGCAGATGCTGGATCTATGCTTGTACAGCCTGCAAAACCGTGACCCTGTTAAACTTCTTTTCTTTATAAATTATCAGCCTCAGGTATTTCTTTATAGCAACACAAGAGCAGGCCAATATGTGGAGTAAGGACCATTGTAACAAAAAGGGAAAATTGTGAAGCTTTTGCTGAAGCTGCACCAACAGGTGTGAAAATCTTGTGCTTTTTGTGAAGTACTTCTTTTTTTCACTTCTGACTTACACGGAAAGTGTGAAATACCTTTTTGTTTCATATTGAAAATGCAGCTTTTATGCGGGTTCAGGATTACTATGAGAAAGATATACCTATAGACCTTAATACAATTCAAGAAAAAGCAATGTCATTATATGACAACTTCAAGCAAAAGGAATATGAAGGATCTAAAGCTGGAGAATTTAATGCAAGCAATGGATGGTTTGATCATTTTAGAAAGAGATTTGGCTTAAATAATGTCAAGATAACAAGAGGAACAGTTTCTGCCAACTATGAAGCAGCAAACAAGTTGCTATTAAGAAAATCACTGAAGAGAAAAGGTATAGGCCCAAATACATTTTTAATGCAGACCATAGTGTCTTATTCTGGGGAAAAAAATGCCACAGAGAACATTTATTGGTAAGAAAGAAAGGCAAGCATCAGGATTTAAGGCAAGATGGGATAGGCTAACTGCACTGTTTTGTGCAAATCCAGTCAGGTTTATGATCAGGACTGTTTTTATCTATAAAGCTACTAACCCCTGAGTCTTGAAGGGAAAAGATAAACACCAGTTGCCAGTCTTTTGGTTGTACAACAAGAAGGCCTGAACAGAGAATCCTTTTTCTGGATTGTTTCCACTGATGCTTTGTCCCTGAAGTCAGGAAGCACCTTGCCAGTAAAGGACTGTCTTAAAGTTCTTTTAATATTGGAAAATGCCCTTGGCCTCACAGAGCCCCATGAGTTCAGCATCAAGGGTGTTGAAGTGGGTTACATGCTCCCAAATACAAGGTCTCTAATTCAGTCTCTAGATCAGGAGACCTCAAAGACCTGTAAGGCTCATTACACACAGTACTCTATGGAAAGGATTGTCAGTGCTGTGGAAGAGAATCCCAATATGGAGAACATCATGAAAGTCTGGAAGGATCACACATTTGAAGATGCCATTATTGTTATAGCAAAAGCCATGAAACCCATCAAGCCAGAAACAACAAATTCCTGCTAGAGAAAACTGTGTCAGAGGTTGTGCATGATTTCACAGGATTTATGACAAAGCCAATCAAGGAAATCATGAAAGAGATTGTGGATAAGGAAAAAAAAAAGTTGGGAGGTGAAGAGTTTAAGATATGGATCTTAGGGAAATTCAAGAGCTAACAGACACCACACCAGAGCAGTTAACAGAAGGTGAATCTCCAGCTAGTAGCTGGAGATGAGTACTTCCAAGCCAGTGCCAGATGATGAGGAAGAAGATATCGAAGAAACAGTATCAGGAAACAAATTGACAGTAGACAATCTGGTAGAAGGGTTCTGGTTATGTGATACTGCTTCCGTCTTATTTCACAACATGGCCCCTTCCATGATATGGGCACTGAAACTAAAGCAAACAATGGAAGAAGGGTTGGTACCATACAGAAATATATTTAGAGAAATGAAAAAGCAAAAAAATCCAGACTGATATTTTCATAAAGTTACACTGAGTGTGCCTGTCTCTCCTGCTTCCCTTTCTATCTCCTCTACCTCTGTCACTCATGAGACAGCAAGACCAACCCCTCCTCTTTCTTCTTTCCTCAGCCTTTTTAATGGGATAATGATGAGGATGAAGAACTTTATGATGATGCACTTCCACTTAATGAATAGTAAATATATTTTCTCTTCCATATAATTTTTTATTAACATTCTCTTTTCTCTAGCTTACTTTATTGTAAGAATACAGTATATAATACATATAACATAAAATACGTGTTAATCAACTGTTTCTATTATTGATGAGGCTTCTGTTTAACAGTAGACTAATAGTGATTAAGTTTTGGGGGAGTCAGAAGTTACAAATTAATTTTCAACTACAGGGACTGTTGACATTCCTAATCCCCATGTTCAAGGGCTAAAATTTGCACCATCACATCAGGGGCTAGGACTTCTATATATTCAAATTCAGAGCTCACCTAGATTCTGAAAATTTTACTCCTAGATCAAAAATTGATATTATAGTTTGTGAAAAGTGGGAAGGAGAAAGTAGTTTCCTTAAACACCACTTGAATTTTTAACCAGACTGCTTATATTCAGATTAAAGTAGAACTGATAACTCTTACTTTGGAGTAGAAAAACCTAATCATGGCAGTGATGGGGGAGAATGTCTTCTCCCTCATTCCACTCATTTTCTTCACTGTCTCTAGGTCATAGTTGCATGTTTGTGATGTAGAAAAAAACGTATAACATTTTTAACATAATGTAACTGAGAAAGTGGATATACAGTAACTTTGTTAACTGCAAATAAAGTTAACTTCCACAAAAAAATTAACCATAATGAAGTAAAGTAACATTATTATGTATTTAGTTATTGGCTATGATAATTAAAATAGGGTTACCAAATATCTTATTTTGAGATTTTCCTAAACAACTCACATTTTCTACATGTACTGTGGATGTTGTAACTGTCTTGCCAGAGTTTACATAAAAAAGATTCCTGATGTTGGGGACATGTTTATTTTGGAAAGCTTGTGCCTACAGGAAAATTGGCACAGAGTATATTTGGCATAACTGTGGCTTCTGCACACTGTCAGCCCAATTTAGGAATTAACTACAGTAAGAAATTGTGAGTACTAGAGGAAGTACTTTTGTAAAAAGCAGTAAGGAATGCAAAACAAACAAACAAACAAACAAAAAAAAAACACTGCCTCTATACACATACATTGAACCAATAACAAATTCCGGATTTTGATATTATAATGTAACTAGGAAAGATGGAACAACTAAGGAAAACTGGGTAAAAGTAGACTGCAACTACCTGTGAATCTATAATTCCTTCAAAATAAAATCTGAAAAAAAAAAAAAAATCGCTACCTCAATAAGGAAAGATCCTGGAGCAAAAAGAAGAAGAATTGAGAAATAAATCATTGATATTCACTAATGTGAAAGTACAGATAGGCTGTCTAACTTTGAGAGGACTTGCACTGCCTTCAGGGTAAACTGGGGACACTTGATAGAGATTCGAAGTCATGAGGTGAGCTGTGGTTTGCAGATTTGCAGGCTCCTTGTGGCTTTCACTCAAGCTATGGTTTTCAAGGGGACATTACCAAAAGGGTTTTCCAAGAAAGGTTAGGCAAATACCACAGACAGACTGGGCAAAACCAAAGGGTAGAGACTTGAGTGGAGCACTGATGTAAATACTTTCTTTTCTGGAAAGGGTAAAAAGTGTGCTTTTCTGATTTCCAGCTGAATTTTTCCTCTTCCTCTAATTACACTGAAGCCAATGTGGAAAACAAGAGGGGTCAATTAAACTAGGTAGAGGGAAGGAGATCCATGTGGGCTATTACTATTGATTTAGGAAAGACTAGTTCATAATAATGAAATTCTCAATCTTGTGGACTGAAAGTTAGCTCTTTATACTCCCAGTGGAACAACTCTCTCTCCATTTTATGGCCTGAAGAATATTTTTCATCTATTTTCATTATTATCTATTTTCCTCTCAAGTAGATGGTAAGCTCCTTAATGGTGTTTTTTTTAAGTAAAAATCAAGACATTTAGAATGCATTAATCTCTTCAGTGAATTCCATTGGTATCAGTAACTGCAATGTTGCAGCTTACAGCATTTCACATTACTAGTCAGTAAATATTTGTTTTAAGGGTGAGAGTAGGAATAGAACAGGAGATACCAGGATGTCAGATTTCACACATATTAAAAATTCAAAAATCAGAAGCATTTTCTTTTCTGGACTGGGTCTGGTGGCATGTACCTATAGATCCAGCTACTTGGGAGATTGAGGCAGGAGGATGGCTTGAGCACAGGGGTTAGGTTACAGTGAGCTAGGACTGCACCAATGGACTCCAGCCTGGGGGACACAGTGAGACTCTGTCTCTACATAAGAAAAATTAAAAATAAGGTAATTTTCTTTTTTTGCATCAAAACTGTACTACAAATTTCAGTGTTTTCATTTTACCCAAGACTCATCATCAACTGAACTGGGAGTGTGTGAAAAAGAAAGCCCTACTATGTTCAAAATGTTCTTGTCTGGAAATTTTTCCCAGTATCGACCGATGCAAACACATCAGTTGACGTCCCTCCTGTACCACTACTGAAGCCAGGAACATATGTACTATCAGCAGTTTCTTTCAACCATGAAGGAGCATGCTGTTGAGCACCCAACCTCATCTAACAGCAGCAAACAAATAGTCCAACTTTATTAATTTCTCAGACAAACTTTGAATTTCCTTTAGAAAAGTAGAACTGGACATAAGGATGTTATACTTTTCCATTGATGGCATTACTAGGCGGGAAATTAGCTTCATTTCTGACCCAAAACCCGTATCCAGTATGTAATCAGCTACATCTAAAACTAAATATTTTAGTTGTCTGAGACCAATCTTTTCTTTTTTTTTTTCTGAAGCTAAGTTACTTGTCCTAATTTTTTTTTATTATTATTATACTTTAAGTTCTAGGGTACATGTGCACAATGTGCAGGTTTGTTACATACGTATACATGTGCCATGCTGGTGTGCTGCACCTGTTAACTCATCATTTACATTAGGTATATCTCCAAATGCTATCCCTCCCCCCTCCCCTACCCCATGACAGGCCCTGGTGTGTGATGTTCCCCACCCTGTGTCCAAGTGTTCTCATTGTTCAATTCTCACCTATGAGTAAGAACATGTGGTGTTTGGTTTTCTGTCCTTGCGATAGTTTGCTCAGATTGATGGTTTCTAGCTTCATCCATGTCCCTACAAAGGACATGAACTCATCATTTTTTATGGCTGCATAATATTCCATGGTATATATGTGCCACATTTTCTTAATCCAGTCTATCATTGATGGACATTTGGGTTGGTTCCAAGTCTTTGCTATTGTGAATAGTGCTGCAATAAACATATGTGTGCATGTGTCTTTATAGCAGCATGATTTATAATCCTTTGGGTATATGCCCAGTAATGGGATGGCTGGGCCAAATGGTATTTCTAGTTCTAGGTCCTTGAGGAATGGCCACACTGTCTTCCACAATGGTTGAACTAGTTTACGGTCTCACCAACAGTGTAAAAGTGTTCCTATTTCTCCACATCCTCTCCAGCATCTGTTGTTTCCTGACTTTTTAATGATCGCCATTCTAACTGGTGTGAGATGGTATCTCATTGTGGTTTTGATTTGCATTTCTCTTATGGCCAGTGATAATGAGCATTTTTTCATGTGTCTTTTGGCTGCATAGATGTCTTCTTTCGAGAAGTGGCTGTTCATATCCTTTGCCCACTTTTTGATGGGGTTGTTTGATTTTTTTCTTGTAAATTTGTTTAAGCTCTTTGCAGATTCTGGATATTAGCCCTTTGTCAGATGGGTAGATTGTAAAAATTTTCTCCCATTCTGTAGGTTGCCTGTTCACTCTGATGGTAGTGTCTTCTGCTGTGCAGAAGCTCTTTAGTTGAATTAGATACCATTTGTCAATTTTGGCTTTTGTTGCCATTGCTTTTGGTGTTTTAGACATGAAGTCCTTGCCCATGCCTATGGCCTGAATGGTATTGTCTAGGTTTTCTTAGGGTTTTTATGCTTTTAGGTCTAATATTTAAGTCTTTAATCCACCTTGAATTAATTTTTGTCTAAGGTGTAAGGAAGGGATCCAGTTTCAGCTTTCTACATATGGCTAGCCAGTTTTGCCAGCACCATTTATTAAATAGGGGATCCTTTCCCCATTTCTTGTTTTTGTCAGCTTTGTCAAAGATCAGATGGTTGTAGATGTGTGGTATTATTTCTGAGGGCTGTGTTCTATTCCATTGGTCGATATCTCTGTTTTGGTACCAGTACCATGCTGTTTTGGTTACTGTAGCCTTGTAGTATAGTTTGAAGTCAGGTAGCGTGATGCCTCCCAGTTTGTTCTTTTGGCTTGGAATTTCCTTGGCAATGCAGGCTGTTTTTTGGTTCCATATGAACTTTAAAGTAGTTTTTTCCAATTCTGTGAAGAAAGTCATTGGTAGATTGATAGGGATGACATTGAATCTATAAATTACCTTGGGCAGTGTGGCCATTTTCACAATATTGATTCTTCCTATGCACGAGTATGGAATGTTCTTCCATTTGTTTGTGTCCTCTTTTATTTCGTTGAACAGTGGTTTGTAGTTCTCCTTGAAGAGGTGCTTCCCATCCCTTGTAAGTATGATCCCTAGGTATTTTATTCTCTTTGAAGCAATTGTGAATGTGAATTCATTCATGATTTGGCTCTCTGTTTGTCTGTTATTGGTGTATAGGAATACTTGTGATTTTTGCACATTCACTTTGTATCCTGAGACTTTGCTGAAGTTGCTTATCAGCTTAAGGAGATTTTGGGCTGAGATGATGGGGTTTTCTAAGTATACAATCATGTCATCTGCAAACAGGGAGAATTTGACTTCTTCTTTTCCTAAGTGAATACCCTTTATTTCTTTCTCTTGCCTGATTGCCCTGGCCAGAACTTCCAACACTATGTTGAATAGGAGTGGTGAGAGAGGGCATCCCTGTCTTGTGCCAGTTTTCAAAATGTATATGCACCCAATTCAGGAGCACCCAGATTCATAAAGCAAGTCCTTAGAGACCTACAAAGAGACTTAGACTCCCACACAATAATAATGGGAGACTTTAACACCCCCCTGTCAATGTTAGGCAGATCAACAAGACAGAAAGTTAGCAAGGATATTCAGGAATTGAACTCAGCCGTGCACCAAGCAGACCTAACAGACATCTGCGGAACTCTCCACCCCAAATCAACAGAATGTACATTCTTCTCAGCACCACATCACACCTATTCCAAAATTGACCACATAGTTGGAGGTAAAGTACTCCTCAGCAAATGTAAAAGAACAGAAATTATAACAAACTGTCTCTCAGACCACAATGCAATCAAACTAGAACTCAGGATTAAGAAACTCACTCAAAACCTCACAATACATGGAAACTGAACAACCTGCTCCTGAATGACTACTGGGTACATAACGAAATGAAGGCAGAAATAAAGATGTTCTTTAAACCAAGGAGAACAAAGACACAACATACCAGAATCTCTGGGACACATTTAAAGCAGTGTGTAGAGGGAAATTACAGCACTAAATGCCCACAAGAGAAAGCAGGAAAGAGCTAAAATTGACACCCTGACATCACAATTAAAAGAACTAGAGAAGCAAGAGCAAACACATTTCAAAAGCTAGCAGAAGGCAAGAAATAACTAAGATCAGAGCAGAACTGAAGGAAATAGAGACACAAAAAACCCTTCAAAAAATCAATGAATCCAGGAGCTGGTTTCTTGAAAAGATCAACAAAATAGGCCGCTAGCAAGACTAATAAAGAAGAAAAGAGAGAAGAATCAAATAGATGCAATAAAAAATGATAAAGGGGATATCACCACTGATCCCACAGAAATACAAACTACCATCAGAGAATACTATAAACACCTCTACGCAAATAAACTAGAAAATCTAGAAGAAATGGATAAATTCCTGGACATATACACCCTCCCAAGTCTAAACCAACTAGAAGTTGAATCCCTGAATAGACCAATAACAGGTTCTAAAATTGAGGCAACAATTAATAGCTCACCAACTAAAAAAAGTCCAGGACCAGACAGATTCACAGCCATATTCTACCAGAGGTACAAAGAGGAGCTGGTACCATTCCTTCTGAAACTATTCCAATAAATAGAAAAAGAGGGAATCCTCCTTAACTCATTTTATGAGGCCAGCATCATCCTGATACCAAAGCCTGGCAGAGACACACCAAAAAAAAGAGAATTTTAGACCAATATCCCTGATGAATATTGATGCAAAAATCCTCAATAAAATACCGGCAAACCGAATCCAGCAGCACATCAAAAAGCTTATCCAGCACGATCAGGTAGGCTTCATCCCTGGGATGCTAGGCTGGTTCAACATACGCAAATCAATAAACATAATCCATCATATAAACAGAACCAAAGATAAAAACCATATGATTATCTCAATAGATGCAGAAAAGGCCTTTGCCAAAATTCAACAGTCCTTCATGCTAAAAACTCTCAATAAACTAGGTACTGATGGGATGTATCTCAAAATAATAAGAGCTATTTATGACAAACCCGCAGCCAATATCATACTGAATGGGCAAAAACTGGAACCAATCTTTTTTTAACTACGTTGGTCCTCCACAAGTAGCATATTGTACATTAACGCCTTGTAATGCCTGAGTGAGAAAGGAAGGGAACACTATTTTGGTTTCAGACCTCTGTTAGGCAACTTACATACTTGCTGCCGCCACATACATATGTTGAGGCTGATAGTTTTACTTTTCTTTAGTTTTATACATTTTTAGGGATAGGTATTACTATGTTTACTTTGCCTATGAAACCGAAGCTCAGAGATGTTAGATAATCTCGTAAGTAGCAGAGACAAGAATCCAACTAAAGTCTGTCTGATTTCAAAGTTGACATTCCTTTCATTACATGGATTTACCTCTTCATTCTCTAGAGTCATTTAGCAGTTCAATGGCTAACAAGTATTTGTTGGCTAGATAGAAAGATAAATGAATGGATGACTAAATAAAACCTTCTGAGGCTTTATGGACAATGCTAATCTGAGAAATAGAAATGCTAATAGGAATCCTTATAAAATCGGTCTGCATTTCTGAGCAGCCCTGTCTTTTCTGCCAAAGAATGATTGCTCTGACCTTCCTTAGAAGTGAAAGGAGAATACTGCTCCAGTACATCCATCATTAGAATGAACTCTGGTCAAAATGGAAAGGTAGGTGAAGAGAGACTTAGGAACTCTTCTATCACTACATTTGGCAGCTCCTGCCTAGCACTGTTCATGTAGTCACTCACTGACCTGAGTCTGGGACAACTTTCAGAATTATCGCCACTTCCCTTAGTTTCACAGTCCTAGCTGGTAATCATGGAGGAAAAGCAATCTCCAAAGACAATTCTCTTGAGGAAGTTTTACTTATAGAATTTTGAACCATCCAAATAGACTGAGTTAAAAAAAAAAAAAAAAGACATAATGTCCTTCCCTCATTAGATTTTTCACTTGAGGTAAGCCACCTAAGCACTCATTCCAAAAATTTGAAATATGAAAATTTCCTCTATGGTTGGTATGAAGAATAAAGATAATGTAGATAAAGGACTAGGCTCACCATAGATACCCATGAAGATGCGGCAACTCCTAGTAGTAATATACCTGAATTTTTGGTATCTATGATACCTGTACTTTTTCCAACCAAAAATAAATTTTTTACAGGTTTGTGATTTTATCTGCATTATAAGCCTTATAAAAGTCCAAAAATGTATAGTTAAATTATGAATGATTTAATCACCATTGTTAAAGAGAAAATGATGTAAATTTGAAACTATCCCAGCACTTAGGCTTTCCTTACCTTACTTTGGATTTTTACCTTAGTTTGCTCCTCTTTGGAGATTTTCTGTTTTGAAATGTACAGAGGATGTCAGTTTTGTGGTCACTGGGATCCTGCATATGTATAGGACACTGCTCATGTACAAATTCCTCCACCTGCCCAATGTGGAACACAAAGGGAAAGGTCTCATGAAAGTGTTGGGATACAAGTCTTTATGGATCTCTCATGTTTCTGCACAACTTGCATACAGAACTAATAGCCCTTTTGTTCTAGTTTATTGTTTCACAGTAAATTGCAGAGTGAATGACATTGAAGACAGATGTAGCCTACTTTGCAGAGCAAAATATAGATTGTTTATTGTCCAGCACAATCAAGATAATATTTCCCTTCAGGACAAAGGTTGGCAGGTTTGCTTGCAACCCACTACAACAGATTTAGGTTCCCTAAGCTAAAGATTCCACTGCATGTCCAGCATCTAGATGGACCCCCTCTGCTGCAACACCATGGGACTTTGGGAACAAGGAGAAGCAACATGAACATAGAGTTCATGCTGTCTGCTGAGAGTAAAGTCTATTGCCTCTATTTCAGGAATCTCTTGTTTTCCAGCATTATTAAACTGTAACAGGTTAACCTGTTAGCTTGTAAGTAAAAAGTTCATGCCCTGCCCTTCACAGTCTTGACAAACAGCATGTAAAAACACTAGAATATGCTGTTGACAGCCCAGAGGAATCTTTTCTGATTGGAGAGTACAAGTAACTTAGGGAAATTGTTGCAGGAGTGATAACTGGGCCTCAAAGGATGAGTAGAAGTGGGCTGAATGTAGAAGGCTAAGAGAGGTGTTCTAGGCAGAAGAAATAAAGCAAAGATGTATGTATGTTTGTGGAAAACTGGAATGTTACAGCCTGGATTGCAAGAGGATGAGTATTGCAAGATATAATATAAAAAGTAATTTGGAATTATATTGAGAAAAGAAAATTGATTTTTGGATTTGCTATTCCACTAAACGGTCTCAAATGAATTGTCTCATTTTAGTAACACAGCAACTTTCTTGGGTATGTATTACTATCCCGTTTGAAGAAATTAAGTCTCAAAGAGTTTAAATAATTTCTTTTTCTCTAAGAGTAAACAGCTACTAAGTACTAGAACAACAATATAAAACCAATATTCTTTTCATACCATCTTCAACCAGTGAGGAGTTTTTACTAGTATTCTGTAAACACATCAGCAGCCATGTGTTTTATTTTTTGTTTTTGTTTTTTATTTTTCAATTTTCATTTAGGTTAAGATATCCTGCTCAGGTCTACTGTAAATGAATGATTTGACAGCAGTATGGAGTATTGGAGAGGGATAGTCTGGAAAGAGCAAGAACAGTTACGGGATATGGCAATACACCTGAGCATTTGTAAGGGGCCTAGAGTGGTCATGGCAATTGTGATGGAGAAAAGGATGTTCAATGGAGTTTGGAAATACAGTATATCGTAGAGGAGAAATTATTTTTTAACATGCACAGAGGTTTCTAGCTTGGATGGCTAAGTGATTTCACTAACTGAAATAGATGATTCTGGATAAGGAGAAACTGAGGGACAACATTATTAACTTTATAAAATAAATCAGATGGCATAGAATGAATTTCAGACGGTCAAATTTCAGGCAGGGTTTCCTTTGTGGAAGGTACATTTTAGATGAAGAGATGTTCAGTTTTTTTCCTTGAGTTGACAAACTATTCTTTCATTGGTAATTACAACCTAATGATTAAAATTCTAAAGTCTTATAGATATAAGATAGCATTTAGCAAAATATGTTTACTTTCCAGTTATTAAAAGGACAAACATCGAACAGAATTTATGAGAATTAGAATGCTAACTTACTTAATCTGCCTTTTGTTGCACTTCATAAAAAATTTTATTGGTAATATTATGTCCTTTTTTTTACTGGAATAAAAAATGCTAAACAATTTTGGCACAAAACAACTATCAAATTTCTCTTATTCTGTACCCTTTCTATCTGAAACCTCTTCCAAAAACTGAATCCTTGAAAGTATTTCAAGTAAGTGTTGCTCATGAGTAGAAAAAGACAAAAAGTTATGTAACTTTTTTGACTGACTTTGCTTATTCTTTACACTAGTTTATAAAAAGAGAGACTGAATGATTCATACCATCTGTGAATTTGCATGTTTCTCCTATCACTTGTTAGAAATATGGCTTTCCTTTGAAAATGACCACAAATGTTCCTTTTACACAGTATCTTCTCAAGTGGAAAGGTGAAAAGGTTTTGTATATGCGTGCATAAATGTTCAAGTTTTGAATCAATGTTTAATCAGAGCTCCAGTTAACAAAATGATTCACTACCATCACCATTTCCAGAATAATAATTTATCTCATTTAGTGGTATGGACAGCTGACTAAATGTAAACCATGACCATTCATCTAAGCATGTTGCCTAACAACTGATTCATTTTTACGTTTTTCATAAGAAAAAAACACACACACACAGGAAAAAGAGAGAGAGATAATACCAAAATAGGAGCTGCTAAATCATGAAGGTAAGTATTTGATGAGGTGATGTCTTTATCACCCTGCAAAAGCAATTTACTCTTCAAATTCTCTTGTAGAAATATTCTTAACAGCTGACAGTTTGAAGGTTTGAATATGAAAGCCAGGGTATTTCCTTTTACATTAAAATTAGCAAACATCATTTTCTTATCATGGCTAATTGTAAATAATGCTGCAATGAACTTGTGAGTGTGAATATCTCTTCAAGATATTGACTTCATTTCCTTTGAATATACAATCAGAAATGGGGTTGCTCAATCGTATGGTAGTTCTATCTTTATTTTTTGGAGAAACAGCCACATTATTTTTCATAATGGTTGTACTAATTTACATTCCCACTGATAATGTACAAGGGTACCCGTTTCTCCACATCCTAGCCAACATTTATCTTTCTTTAATCTTTTAGATAACAACCATCCTAGCAGGTGTGAAGTGATATCTCATTGTGGTTTTGGTTTGCATTTCCATTATTAGTGATGTTGAACATCTTTTCATGTGTCTGTTGGTCATTTATATGTCTTCTTTGGAAAAATGTCTATTCTGGTCATTTGCCCATTTTTTTAATCAGAATAATCTCTCAGAATGTTATACCTACATGTACTGTTACAGCAATGAATCATGGCCCATTAAATAAATTAGATGGATAGTTACCCTGTGAATCATTAAAACTTGTTTTTAACATTCACTTTTAGTTTGATTCTGGGTAGTTTTAGACAAGAAGTGTTTCACTATGTACTCATTCAGAGTATAGTACATAAAGTATGTGGCTTCTGTGGGGATGTACTGAAAGCTTGGTTCTGTAGTAAATCCAAGAATGTTATCACAATAATAAAGGATTTTTAAAATTTGATCTGCAAACAGAAAGGTTTTAAAGGTTTAGGTGAACTGTCTTCCTCAGGACAAGGGTAATCAGGCGTTGGCAACCCTTTTCTTTTTCCTACAAAGGACCAAATAGTGAATATTCTCAGCTTTGCGGGATATATGTTCTCTGTCACAATGACTCAACTCTACTATTGTAATGTGAAAGCAATATGTAAATGTGCAAATGTGGCTTTGTTCCAGTAAAACAATTTGCAAGATCAGGTGATGGCTGGATTCGGCCAGTGAGTTGTATACTGCTAAACCAGAGGCATTTGCGTTCAAGCCCCCACTCTTCAGAGCCTAATACAAATCTTTAAAAAGACACAAATTAAGGTTTCTTAAATGAGTGCATTATTACAATAGAATGATAGAATAAATATACGAATTCACTCACAAATTTAAGAGGCATATATTGAGTATCAGCCACAGTTCTAGGCTCTATAGTTGTAACTAGTGGTCCAACCAGCCCACCCCACCCCACCCACAAAAAAATTCTGCCCTTACAGAGATTATATTCTCAAAGAACAACAGACAATATGCAAGATAAATAGTAAAATGTATAATATGTTAAATGTAAATAATAAGTAATAAAAAATAAAGATGGTACAACGTGGGAGACTTGCCATTTTAGATTACATAGCCAAGGAAGGCTTTATATAAAGGCCACATTTCAGTGAAGACCACAGGGATGTAAGGGAGCATGTTCTAGGCAGAGGGAACAGCAAACACAAAGGCTCTTAAAGCCGTATATTAGTATTTTAAAGGTGTCAATTCTTCCTATTTTTTATTTATATTTAAACAAAGCACTTTTAAATATAAGGTATTATTTACATGTAATGAGATGCACCCATTTTAAGTTTAGAGTGTGATGAATGTAGTTTTTGATGTAATGGATACTATATTCCATTAGTTCTTGAATGTTTGTTCAAAAATAAAAATAGATAATTTTCCAAAAAATAGCCCATTCAGAAGAAAAGCATAATCTGAGGTTAATGAAAAGAAAGTTTCTCACAAAGACTTCATACTGGATAACTATTTAGTAGGAACATTAATTTAAGGCAAAAAAAAGATCAAGTAAAAATATGACATACCTAGTTTCCATTTTTAAAGACCATCTAGTGGATGCTTTTATAATTCTCATAACATGCTTAATTCTTTCTTATTTATTTATTATTTATTTATTTTTAGAGACAGGGTCTTGCTCTGCACCCAGGCTGGAGTGCAGTGGCGTGATCATAGCACACTGCAGCCTTGAACTCTTGGCCTCAAGTCATCCTCCTGCCTCAGCCTCCAGAGTAGCTAGGACTATAGGCATGCACCATTATACCTGGCTACTTTTTTTGTAGCGATGAAGTCTCTGGGTCTCACTATGTTCCTCAAGCTGGTCTCTAACTCCTGGGCTCGAAGGGGCCCCCCACCTTGGCCTCCCAAAGTGCTGAGATTATAGGCATGAGCCACTGCACCCTGCCTTATTTCTTGAGGTATTCTCTCAGACTGTTGTATTCTTATACATTGTTTAGACTGTCCCTCTTCAATCTCATAGCCACTAGCCACATTAACTAGTGAACACCTGAAGTGTGTCTAGGGATATGCTTTCTGCTTTAAATAAAAAATTCATAGTAGATTTCAGATTTAGAAAAAAAGTGAAATAACTCATTTATAGTTTTATATTAAACATAAGTGATCTTACCCACTTGCCTTTTTTTTTTTTTTTTTTGAGACGGAGTCTCGCTCTGTCCCCCAGGCTAGAGTGCAGTGGCGTGATCTTGGATCACTGCAAGCTCCGCCTCCTGGGTTCACGCCATTCTCCTGCCTCAGCCTCCGGAGTAGCTGGGACTATAGGCACCCGCCACCACGCCTGGCTAATTTTTTGTATTTTTAGTAGAGACGGGGTTTCACCGTGTTAGCCAGGATGGTCTCAAGCTCCTGACATCGTGATCCGCCCGCCTGGGCCTCCCAAAGTGCTGGGATTGCAGGCGTGAGCCACCACGCCCAGCCCCGACTTGCCCTTTTTAAGAACTCTACTATACCCTGCTCTTTTCTATTCCTGTTTTGTATAGAAACTCAAGTATTATGCATACCCGAAGGAAACTGCTGGGTTGGGGAAAAGATTCAGGTGGTGGTGTGAGGTGTTTCTAGGTCCTGTTCTAACACTAGGCACGTGGCATTTCTGTACATGCATGGACTTTTTTACATTTGTCACCTTGTGAGTCCTTGTGCTCCCTAGTCTCCTTTGTCTTGAGTAACATTTTCTCTTTCCTCTTACACAGGTATATCTTACATAAAAGCCAGCCCCAGCAGGGCATCATAATAATAGCTTACAATTATTGAGGCACTTACATGGCAAGTATTCTTGTTAAGTGCTTTACGTGTATTCTTTCAATTGGACAACACAATAAAATCAATAACGTACATAAATTATTTTCATTTTACCAGTGAAGAAGCTAGGGCTTAAAAAGGTGAAATAATATGGATAGTCAACAGTAGATTTTAAGAATCTGCCTATTTCAGTTAGCCCCCAAATTATAATATTTTATTACCATACTATTTTGCTTCAATATGAGGGGAAAATGCTTAAGTCAAGGTGAGGAAAAATATCCTCCTCCTCAGTGCTCAGGAAAACATACTTCAAGCATGTCATTGATCACTAGGGTGCAGTATCCAGTCTAATAATTTAACACATTTTCCTAAAACATTATTACATGTTTTAATGTAGTTTCATATCATTATGTACTGTATTTAGTAAGCTATAGCCCATTTACTTCTGTGGTTACAAGGCAGCAGCAGATGGTCAATGATTCAAACAATATGTGTTTGGCAAGAGATGAGGGAATGCATAACATAAACCATCACAGATGTAATTGTGAGTACAATTTTGAAAGCAAGACACCCATTTTAATATAGTGTGCTAACTCTATTACTATAAAACATTTAGTAAAATCTGTATCATTGCACAATTAGATAAAATTGCTCTGTTTCCAGTTGTTTCCTCCTTCTTGGTACTTTCTGATTTTTTTTAAACTTTCTTGCCCTACTTATATTATGAAGTAAGATAATATTGCCATGTTTCAAGTTGTTCTTTCCTGTTTGTCATTTCTGACCTGTGTTGCTTTTCTTCACATCCTTATTCCTATGAGTAAGCTAACACTGGCATTTTATGTTATTGCTTTTTTGTCCTTTCTGTTTTATTTTTCTAGTAGCAATCATAGAAATTCAGAGAAAAATATAATAATCTGGAAGTCATTGAGAAACATGGAAATATGGAGAGCTAGGTATTTTATCCCACTTTGTTCCAAAATAGATTTAAGGTAACCTTCAGAAATATCTGCAGAACAACAATGAACAACAACAAACGGGTCAGAAGAAACAAACGAAAATGCAATAATGAGAGAAAAAAGATGAAAAATAAGAAAGGGAGTGCAAAAGATATAGAAGATAGAATGCAAAGGTTGAATATATATATTTTATTGAAATCAAAGAAGTGTAGAAGAGAGGGTATGACAGGCAATATTTTAAAAGATAATGGCTGATGATCCTCCAAAATTGATGGAGGATATCAATATGCAAATTCAAAGAGGCCAAAAAATCCAAAGCAAGATAAATAAAAACAAATCCACACCTAGAAATATAACAGAAAAACTGCTGAAAACCAACAATACAACAAAATATCTTAGAATCAGAGAAATAAAATAGGTTACCTTCAACATAAAAAATGTAACATTGAAAGCTGATTTTTACAGCTGCAGTGGAAGTCAGGAGATAGTGTAATGTCATCTACAATATAATTAAGAAAAGTGACTTCTAAAGTAGAATGTTATACACAGCAAAAACAAACAAACAAAACCATTAAAGCAAACAAAAAAGTTCCAAAGGTTAACAATAACCAAAAATCCATTTTGGACAAACTGAGTTCGCTATAAGATAATCCATACTATATAAAATTATAAAATATCTAAAAAATATACTTCAAGCAAAAGGAAAATAATTCCAGATAGCTGTTCTGAAATTAGAAAGAGAAGCCACTATGGTAAACATGTAAGAAAATGTAAGTAATATAGACGGTATAAAATTATACCTGTATATATATCATGATGTTTAAAATGTAGAGAGAAATTGCTATTAGCATATAAAGAAGTTAGAGGGGCAATGGAGTTAAAGGAGTCTATGACCATTGTATTTTCCAGGAGGAAAGTAAAAGAATTGACATTAATAAGTCAATTAAATAGACTTTAATAAGTTAAATGTGAACATTTTTACTTGTAAAGTAACCCTGAAAGAAAATAGAATATATAACTTATAAACCAGCAAGCAAAAAATCATCATAATAAAAATAATCCAAAAGGGAAGAAAATAGAGCAAAAAAAGATAACAGATTGAATATATATAGAAAGCAAAAAATAAGTGGCAAATTAAAACCCAAACATATTAGTTATTATGATAATTGCTACTGAATGAAATGTTTGAGTTATAAGACAAACATATCAGATGGGATTAAACACAAACCAAAACAAAATACATTTATGTCATTTGCTTGATATACACTACAGAAATGTTGAGAGTAAGAGAATGGAAATAGAGTAATTATAATAATAAACAGGTAGCTATTTTAATAGTTTACAAAATAGACTTCAAGGTAAAAAAAAAAGAATTATTAGAGTTAAAGAAAAACCCTTGATAATATTTAAATAAATTTAACTTACCAGACAAAGTTTATATGTACTTTAAAAACTTCAGCTGAATTAAATTTAAAGGAGTTTAATTGAGCAATGAACGATTCGTGAATTGTGCAGCCTCCAGAGACAGAGTAGGCTCTGAGACTCCACTGTAGCCACGTGGTAGAAGATTTATGGACAGAAAAAGGAAAGTGACATACAGTAAATGGTAGCGAGGTACGGAAACAGCTGGATTGGTTACAGGTTGGCCTTTGCCTTATTTGAACATGGTCCGAACAGTTGGCTACATTTGATTGCCAACACTCGGTGACTGGCACAAGTGTGGGCTACAGTCGGTTTACACCTCCACTTTTTATAGTTCACAATGCACAGAGAAATCTTTATGCTGAAATTAAAATATGTAAGGAGGCAGGTTTAGGCTAAACTTGATTTAACAATTCCCCCCTTTTGGTCACCTTCTCTATTTTGAAAGATTGACCAAAACTTTAGTCATCAACGTCACTATCACTATCATAAATGTACTTATTTGGCCTTGAAACCCACTGAGAAACAGTATAATAGTGGGTTTTGCAAGGTGGGGACAAGGACTTCAGGTTATTTTTCTTACGTGTTAGAGTAGAGGGTAACTCCCTATGCTGGAACATCTTATTTACAGCAGAAAAAAACAAAATCTTGTCTGTTCTAGTGAGAGTTGACAGCGTGCTGGCAGTCCTCACAGCCCTCGCTTGCTCTGCTCTCAGCGCCTCCTCCGCCTGGGCTCCCATTTGGTGGCACTTGAGGAGCCCTTCAGCCTTCCGCTGCACTGTGGGAGCCCCTTTCTCTGCTGGCCAAGGCCGGAGCTGGCTCCCTCAGCTTGGGAGGAGGTGTGGAGGGAGAGGCGCGGGCGGGAATAGGGGCTGCGCTGCGATGCTTGCAGGCCAGCAGCGCGAGTTCCCGGTGGGCGTGGGCTCCGCGGACCCCGCACTCGGAGCCGCCGGCTGGCCCCAGCGGCCTGGGCAGTGAGCAGCTTAGCACCTGGGCCAGCAGCTGCTGTGCTCATTTTCTCGCCGGGCCTTAGCTGCCTTCCCGCAGGGCAGGGCTCGGGACCTGCAGCTCGCCATGCCTGAGCCTCCCCCAACCCCGTGGGCTCCTGTGCGGCTGGAGCCTCGCCTACGAGCACCGCCCCCTGCTCCAAGGCGCCCAGTCCCATCGACCACCCAAGGGCTGCGGAGTGCAGGCGCAGGGCGCGGGACTGGCAGGCAGCTCCACCTGCAGCCCCCGTGCGGGATCCACTGGGTGAAGCCAGCAGGGCTCCTGAGTCTGGTGGGGACTTGCAGAACCTTTATGTCTAGCTAAGGGATTGTAAATGCACCAATCAGCACCCTGTGTCTAGCTCAGGGTTTGTGAATGCACCAATTGACACTCTGTATGTAGCTACTCTGGTGGGGACTTGGAGAACCTTTATGTCTAGCTCAGGGATTGTAAATACACCAATGGGCACTCTGTATCTAGCTCAAGGTTTGTAAACACACCAATCAGCACCCTGTGTCTAGCTCAGGGTTTGTGAATGCACCAATTGACACTCTGTATCTAGCTACTCTGGTGGGGCCTTGGAGAGCCTTTGTGTCCACACTCTGTATCTAGCTAATCTGGTGGGGACGTGGAGAACGTTTGTGTCTAGCTCAGGGATTGTAAACACACCAATCAGCGCCCTGTCAAAACAGACCACTCAGCTCTACCAATCAGCAGGATGTGGGTGGGGCCAGATAAGAGAATAAAAGCAGGCTGCGGGAGCCAGCAGTGGCAACCCGCTTGGGTCCCCTTCTACACTGTGGAAGCTTTGTTCTTTTGCTCTTTGCAATAAATCTTGCTGCTGCTCACTCTTTGGTTCCACACTGCCTTTATGAGCTGTAACACTCACCACGAAGGTCTGCAGCTTCACTCCTGAAGCCAGCGAGACCACGAGCTCACCAGGAGGAACAAACAACTCCAGACGTCCTGCCTTAAGAGCTGTAACACTCACTGTGAAGGTCTGCGGCTTCACTCCTGAGCCAGCGAGACCACCGACCCACCAGAAGGAAGAAACTCTGAACACATCCGAACATCAGAAGGAACAAACTCCGGACACGCCGCCTTTAAGAACTGTAACACTCACCGCGAGTGTCCGCGGCTTCATTCTTGAAGTCAGTGAGACCAAGAACCCACTAATTCTGGACACACTAGGATCTATGTGTTTCCTTAAAGTCTTAGTTTGATTATGTCAAGTTTAGCACAAGTGGCTCCATTTTGGTTTGGTCTGGGCTGTTGGGGCCTAGTGCATGAATTCAGTCCAAAACAATGGCCTCCCATAATTTTGTTTAAAAATTTCCCATTGCATCTGCCATTACTGAGGCTTGAGTAGGCGGTTTTCCCCTCACAGTGTAAACAAAGCCACCAGGAAGTTCAAACTGGGTGGAGCCCACTGCAACTAGGCAAAGCTGCTGTAGCCAGACTGCCTCTCTAGATTCCTCCACTCTGGGCAAGGCATCTCTGAAAGAAAGGCAGCAGCCCCAGTCAGGGGCTTATAGATAAAACTATCTGTAATAACACCTGGGGAAACAGGTGGCTATGGAGTCAGCTTCAGCGGACTTAAACATTCCTGCCTGCCAGATCTGAAGAGAGCAGTGGATCTCCCAGCACAGTGCTCGAGCTCTGCTAAGGGACAGACTGCCTCCTCAAGTGGGTGCCTGACTCCCATGCCTCCTGACTGGGAGACATCTCCCAGCAGAGGTCGATGGACACCTCATACAGGAGAGCTCCGGCTGGCATCTGGTGGGTGCCCCTCTGGGACGAAGCTTCCAGGGGAAGGAACAGGCAGCAATCTTTGCTGTTCTGTAGCCTCTGCTGGTGGTACCCAGGCACACAGTATCTGGAGTGGACCTCCAGCAAACTCCAGCAGACCTGCAGCAGAGGGTCCTGACTGTTAGAAGGAAAACAAACAGAAAGGAATAGCATCAATATCAACAAAAAGGATGTCCACACAGAAACCCCATCCAAAGGTCAACAACAGCAAAGACCAAAGGTAGATAAATCCATGAAGATAAGGAAAAACCAGTGCAGAAAAGCTGAAAATTCCAAAAACCAGAATGCCTCTTCTCCTCCAAAGGATCACAACTCCTCACCAGCAAGGGAACAAAACTGGACAGAGAATGAGTTTGATGAATTGACAGAAGTAGGCTTCAGAAAGTGGGTAATAACAAACTCCTCTGAGCTAAAGGAGCATGTTCTAACCCAATGCAAGGAAACTAAGAACGTTGAAAAAAGTTTAGAGGAATTGCTAACTAGTATAACCAGTTTAAAGAAAAACATAAATGACCTGATAGAGATGAAAAACACAGCATGAGAACTTCATGAAGCATACACAAGTATCAATAGCTGAATCGATCCAGCAGAAGAAAATATATCAGAGATCGAAAATCAACTTAATGAAATAAAGCACGAAGACAAGATTAGAGAAAAAAGAATGAAAAGAAATGAACAAAGCCTCCAAGAAATATGGGACTATGTGAAAAGATCAAACCTACGTTTGATTGGTGTACCTGAAAGTGATGGGGAGAATGAAACCAAGTGAGAAAACACTCTTCAGGATATTATCTAGGAGAACTTCCCAAACCTAGCAAGACAGGCCAACATGCAAATTCAGGAAATACAGAGAACACCACAAACTTTAGAAGAGCAACCAAAAGACACATAATCGTCAGATTCACCAAGGTTGAAATGAAGGAAAAAATGTTAAGGGTAGCCAGAGAAAAAGGTCGGGTTACCCACAAAGGGAAGCCCATCCAACTAACAGCAGATCTCTCTGTAGAAACCCTACAAGCCAGAAGAGAGTGGGGGCCAATATTCAACATTCTTAAAGAAAAGAATTTTCAACCAACAATTTCATATCCAGCCAAACTAAGCTTCATAAGTGAAGGAGAAATAAAATCCTTTACAGACAAGCACGTGCTGAGAGATTTTGTCGTCACCAGGCCTGTCTTACAAGAGCTTCTAAAGGAAGCACTAAACATGGAAAGGAACAACTAGTACCAGCCACTGCAAAAACATACCAAATTGTAAAGACCATTGATGCTATGAAGAAACTGCATCAACTAATGAGCAAAATAAGCAGCTAGCATCATAATGACAGGATAAAATTCACACATAACAACATTAACCTTAAATGTAAATGGGCTAAATGCCCCAGTTAAAAGACATAGACTGGAAAATTGGATAAAGAGTTAAGATCCATTGATGTGCTGTATTCAGGAGACCCATCTCATGTGCAAAGACACACATGGGCTGAAAATAAAGGGATGGAGGAATATTTACCAAACAAATGGAAAGCAAAAAAAAAAAAAAAAAAAAAAAAAAAAAAGCAGGGGTTGCAATCCTAGTCTCTGATAAAACAGACTTAAACCAACAAAGATAAAAAAAGACAAAGAAGGGCTTTACATAACAGTAAAGGAATCAATGCAACAAGAAGAGCTAACTATCCTAAATATGTAGGCACCCAATATAGGAGCACCCAGATTCATAAAGCAAGTTCTTAGAGACCTACAAAGAGACTTAGACTCCCACAGAATAATAGTGGGAGACTTTAATACCCCATTGTCAATATTAGACAGATCAACAAGACAGAAAATTAACAAGGATATTCAGACTTGAACTCAGCTCTGAACCAAGTGGACCTAATAGACATCTACAGAACTCTCCACTCAAAATCAACAGAATATACATTCTTCTCAGCACCACATTGCACTTATTCTAAAATGGACCACATAGTTGGAAGTAAAACACTCCTCAGCAAATGCAAAAGAACGGAAATCACAACAGTCTCTCAGACCACAGTACAATCAAATTAGAACTCAGGATTAAGGAACTAGTCAAAACCGCACAACTATATGGAAACTGAATAACCTGCTCCTGAATGACTACTGGGTAAATAACAAAATTAAGGCAGAAATAAATAAGTTATTTGAAACCAATAAGAACAAAGACACAAAGTACCAGAATCTCTGGAACACAGCTAAAGCAGTGTTTAGAGGGAAATTTATAGCACTAAATGCCCACAGAAGAAAGCTGGAAAGATCTAAAATTGACACCCTAACATCACAATTAAAAGAATTAGAGAAGCAAAAGCAAACAAATTCAAAAGCTAGCAAAAGACAAGAAATAACTAAGATTAGAACAGAACTGAAGGAGATAGAGATATGAAAAACCCTTCAAAAAAATCAATGAATCCAGGAGTTTGTATTTTAAAAAGATCAACAAAATAGACTGCTAGTGAGACTAATAAAGAAGACAAGAGAGAAGAATCAAATAGATGCAACAAAAAATGATAAAGCAGATATCACCACTGATCCTGCAGATATAAAAACTACCATCAGAGAATACTATAAATACCTCTATGCAAATAAACTAGAAAATCTAGAAAGAATGGATAAATTCCTGGACACATACACCCTCCCAAGACTGGATCAGGGAGAAACTGAATCCCTGAATAGACCAATAATGAGTTCCAAAATTGAGGCTATAATAAACAGCCTACCAACAACAACAAAAAAAATCCCAGGACCAGATGCATTCACAGCTGAATTCTACTAGAGATACAAAGAAGAGATGGTACAATTGCTATTAAAACTATTCCAAAAAATTGAGGAGGAGGGACTCCTCACTAACTCATTTTATGAGGCCAGCATCATCCTGATACCAAAACCTGGCAAAGACACAACAAAAAAAGAAAATTTCAGGCTAATATCCCTGATGAACATCGATGCAAACATCCTCAATAAAATACTGGCAAACCGAATCCACCAGCACATCAAAAAGCTTATCCATCATGATCAGGTCAGCTTCATCCCTGGGACGCAAGGCTGGTTCAACATACACAAATCAATAAACATAATCCATCACATAAACAGAGTGGCAAAAACCAATGACTAAAACCACCTGATTATCTCAATAGATGCAGAAAAGGCCTTTGAAAATTCAACACACTTTCATGCTAAAAACTCTCAATAAACTAGATATTAATGGAACATATCTCAAAATAATAAGAGCTACTTATGACAAACCCACAGCCAATATCATACTGAATGGGCGAAAGCTGGAAGCATTCCTTTGAAAACCAGCACAAGCCAAGGATGCCCTCTCTCACCACTCCTATTCAACATAGTATTGGAAGTTGAGGCCAGGGCAATGAGGCAAGAGAAAGAAATAAAGGGTATTCAAATAGGAAGAGAGGAAGTCAAATTGTCTCTGTCTGGAGATGACATGATTGTATATTTAGAAAACCCCATCATCTCAGCCCCAAATCTCCTTAAGCTGATCAGCAATTTAAGGAAAGTCTCAGGATATAAAATCAATGTGCAAAAATCACAAGAATTCCTATACACCAATAATAGCCAAATCGTGAGTGAACTTCCATTCACAATTGCTACAAAGAGAATAAAATACCTAGGAATACAACTTATAAGGGATGTCAAGGACCTCTTCAAGGAGAACTACAAACCACTGCTCAAGGAAATAAGAGAGAACATGAACAAATGGAAAAACATTCCATGCTTATGATTAGGGAGAATGAATATTTTGAAAATGGCCATACTGCCCAAAGTAATTTACAGATTCAATGCTATCCCCATCTAGCTACCATTGACTTTCTTCACAGAATTAGAAAAAAACTACTTTAAATTTCATATGGAACCAAAAAAGAGCCCGTATAACAAAGACAATACTAAGCAAAAAGAACACAGCTGGAGGTATTACACTACCTGACTTCAAACTATACTACAAGGCCACAGTAATCAAAACAGCATGGTACTGGTACCAAACAGTATAGACCAGTGGAACACAACAGAAGCCTCAGAAATAATGCCACATGTATACAATCATCTGATTTTTGAGAAACCTGACACAAATAAGCAATGGGGAAATGAGTCCCTATTTAATAGATGGTGTTGGGAAAACTGGCTAGCCATATGCAGAAAACTGAAACTGGACCTCTTCCTTATACCTTATACAAACATTAACTCAAGACGACTAAAGACTTAAACCTAAAACCTAAAACCATAAAAACCCTAGAAGAAAACCTAGGCAATACCATTCAGAACATAGGCATGGGCAAAGGCTTCATGACTAAAACACCAAAAGCAATGGCAACAAAAGCCAAAATTGATGAATGGGATCTTATTAAACTAAAGGGCTTCTGCACAGCAAAAGAAACTATCATCAGAGTGAACAGGCAGCCTACAGAATGGGAGAAAATTTTTGCAATCTACCCATCTGACAATGGGCTAAAATCCAGAATCTACAAGGAACTTAAACAAATTTACAAGAAAAAAAACCAACCCCATCAAAAAGTGGGCAAAGGATATGAACAGACACTTCTCAAAAGAAGACATTTATGCAGCCAACAAACATAAGAAAAAAAGCTCATCATCATTGGTCATTAGAGATGCAAATCAAAACAACAATGAGATACCATCTCATGCCAGTTAGAATGGTGATCATTAAAAAGTCAGGAAACAACAGATGCTGGAGAGGATGTGGAGAAATAGGAATGCTTTTACACTGTTGGTGGGAGTGTAAATTAGTTCAGCCATCGTGGAAGACAGTGTGGCAATTCCTCAGGGATCTAGAACCAGAAATACCATTTGACCCAGCAATCTCATTACTGGATATATACCCAAAGTATTATAAATCATTCTACTATAAAGACCACATGCATATGTATGTTTATTGCAACATTGTTCACAATAGCAAAGACTTGGAACCAATCCAAATGCCCATTAATGATAGACTGAATAAAGAAAATGTGGCACATATACACCATGGAATACTATGCAGCCATAAAAAAGGATGAGTTCATGACCTTTGCAGGGACATGGATGAAGCTGGAAATCATCATTCTCAGGAAACTAACACAAGAACAGAAAACCAAACACCGCATATTCTCACTCATAAGTGGGAGTCGAACAATGAGAACACGTGGACACAGGGAGGGTAACATTACACACTGGGGCCTGTCAGGGGTTGGGGGGCTAGGTGAGAAATGGTATTAGGAGAAATACCTAATGTAGATTACGGGTTGATCAGTGCAGCAAACCACCATGGCACGTGTACCTATGTAACAAACCTGCACGTTCTGCACATGTATTCCAGAACTTAAAGTAAATATATTGATATTCCCCCTTTTTGGTCAGCTTCTCACTTAGGTGAGAGTGTGACCAAAACTTAGGGCCTTAGTGCTACTCTTAGTTACCATCATTTTGGGTGTCCAGTCTCAGCATGTCATTCATAGGTTACAGTGCCCTCCTGGTCACACAGTTCTTTCATCTCTTTTCATTCCAGTTAAAGAGAGACCATTTGACATTCTAGGTATGGCTGAATGCAAACATTTAAAACTTTTGAGAGAATACAGCACACTGGGGAACTACCATTATGGCTGTCAGGAGGATAATATTTGGAGTATGGTCCTTACCCAGGGTCCCCGTAAACAAAACCACTTACAATTAAATAGATCAAAGAATGAGCTAAAGAATCCACTTGCTTAACTAAGCAGTCTCTGCATTAATCCCCTACAACTGAATCTCTATAATACCTAACGTGATGTATTTCTCCATAGGCCACAAGTGCCAGCAGCTGCAGAGATGGTTTCCCGCTTAGCCAGTAAGTAATCTAGAGTAATTCTATTATTTAGCATAATATTCACAAGATAATTTAAAGTCTGTTGTGTAACCATAACCTTTACAGTAGAATCTGCTATAGAGACTATCATGAGGAATATATTTCTAATCATTGCATCTTTTACTCCAAACCATGGAAAAGGACCTAACAATGATGTCCTTCTAGAAGAGTGAACGCTTCCTGGCAATGTTCTCATTAACCCATGACGTAGGTTAAGAGGAGCAAACAAATGTTCTGTTTCTAACTGATTATGAGGCAAAGTACGTACCATTAAAATTTACAACCTGCATTGGGTCTTCATCTTTCATTTATCAAAGTATAAGGTTATCCATGTTTAAGGCTGGCTGTAAAGTCCTTCACAAATAAAAGTATACCCCATGAGTTCACACAAAAGACCCGCTTTCACTTCTGTTTTTCATAGAGGCATCAGCAAGAGAACAAATATTCAAAGATAAGAGTCTCATGATAGTAGAGAAGTCCTGATCTGTGATCTTAGGAGAAGCTGTTCACATTAAGGATGCCATCTTCTGGGGAGAGACTTCCCAGGTTAGCTTCACCTTAAGGTTTCCAATGGGTGTACAGTTCCAAGAGTATGGAGGGACCCTTCTTGGTTATGAGATTATGAACCCAAGGTTCAGGTCCTGAAGTTATGCTGCAGTACAGGTGGCAAGAGCAGTCTTTCTCTGATGTTCTCAGAAGATCCAGTCTTCAGGTTCTAGGTTGTTAAGGGGTTGATTGTCCTCAGTCAGTGACCCATAAAAGCTTTCTTTACCTGGTAAAAATGCATGGTGACATAATAATCTACAGTTACAACATCAGCCCTCTCACGTGGGAAAGCTTTTATATAACCAGAAAATCTGCATTGAAAATGACAATTGAGGCCGGGTGCGGTGGCTCACGCCTGTAATCCCAGCACTTTGGGAGGCCGAGGCGGGCGGATCACGAGGTCAGAAGATCGAGACCATCCCGGCTAAAACGGTGAAACCCCGTCTCTACTAAAAATACAAAAAATTAGCCGGGCGTGGTGGCAGGCGCCTGTAGTCCCAGCTACTTGGGAGGCTGAGGCAGGAGAATGGCGTGAACCCGGGAGGCGGAGCTTGCAGTGAGCCGAGATCGCGCCACTGCACTCCAGCCTGGGCGACAGAGCGAGACTCCGTCTCAAAAAAAAAAAAAAAAAAAAAAAAGAAAATGACAATTGAATGAAATCCCTCTATAAATGTTTAAATGGCCCTTCAGGTAGCCAAATGTACCTGAAGCTTTGATTGTCTTCCCAAGAATATGGGTTTGAGAAACCAAATATTGGTCATAAACTATTTTAGCAATTTAGAAGTCACCATACCAATATCTATTTAATTTGGATTATTTTATCTTTTCCATGATAAGTCATGGAATGCAGAACTTTTAATAAGAAAAACATTAAGGACTCAGGAAGAACAAGGTGGCTGTCCTGGTTCTCCATGAGTCCATGCTTAACATTGGACTTATGTCCTCTTGAATACCAGTTGTTTCTCCAATTTCAGTGCAAAAGACTGATAATTAATGAGTTATCATAGGTAATTTGACTTAGACCATGGAGTTCATTCAAACTGTATAACTAAACAATTTCAGTATTGGCTGATTCAGCATGAAAATCTGTCAAAGTATTTTCTTGGTATTCAATTAATTTTTGTTCTACTTGGATTAGCGGTTCTATAAACCAGTCAATCTTTTCATTAAAGTTCCAGGAAATCTTACCCAGTCCAAATGACATGATTCTAGTCATCAGAAACCTGTATTCCAAAGTGGTTTCCAGGGTCCTTTCCATCCTTTCATGAGCCTCCTAAAAGACATCATATTCTAGGGTTTTGCGTGCTCATGCAGTTTTCAGAAACTGCATCAGAATTAAGCAATTAACTGTAGAAATGACTTTAAATAGTCATAGTTAAAGATATAATTGAAAAGGAAATTTGGTTATTTCTGTGGTCTACAATAACTTAATATAATAACCATAATTATGGTTGATAGCATATACTCAGACATATTAGAATTTTAGAAATCCTGTGTAATTTTGGAACATATTTTAATATCATGCACTATAATATAACCTGAAGAAGGTTAAACATTATTTTTTATTTTGACAATGCTTCCCATGTAACTTAACGTGTCAAATAATTCTGGTTGCCTCTTTTTTGGATGCTTCAGGGGCCCTCTGCAGCATCCCAAAGTTAGAGGTCAGAAAATGCAACTTTGAAGCTAAAATTTGATTTTGGGAAGCCTACCAAATATGTTAAAGGTTTAAACACTTGAAATTATGAAATAGAATTCCAGGTCACCATAAGTCATTCATTTAGCCAAAATGATGACTCAAACATTTTTAAAAGGCAAAACCTTTACTCATTGATAGACGGAACACTTAGCTTTCCAAACAATCTGTCTCTCGTCTTTCTCTTATTTGTCCTATAGTTTATTCAAAAGGCAAACAAAAATCTTTCATTATCCTTTAATAGTACATGAAAATCTGGTTCAAGAGAGAAAGCCAAATTTCACCCTTGCATTAGTGTGCTATTAATGTCAACTCCTATTTTTAATAAACCCTTATAAACAAATCTATCCAATCTTAATCAGTTTGACCATGTGAGATTCTCATAAACCTTTTATAACATTTTACAAAATTTTTAAAGAGCAGATCAGTGTCCTAAGAAAACCTTGTTTGTGCTTTTAATGTTCAATTTACAGAAAAAAATGAAAAATACCCCTTTAACTTTAGCCAATATATTCACACACAGAATTTCTTTTACACGACTAATTTCTCATGAACTTTCTACACTTTGTTTAAACCTTCAGCTTTATCCTATCTAACTTAAAACAATCCTTTAACCCTTGAATCTGGACAAACAAACAAAAAACACATTCCCATGCCTTCTAATAATATTTTATCAAACGTACATTTCATTTTCCTCACATACCTTGCAACTAAAACTGTTTATTCAGTAGTCTCAATTATATGTTACAACGTTAACTCTTGGCAATTTTAATTTTTGGTGAAAAACCAGGTAAGTGAATGATTTTAATTATGTACTAGGTGTGGAGCTTAGGACACCAGATAGAAGTGCAGGTAAAGTCTGACTTTCCAGCATAGCCATGGGGCTTGGCTAACTTCACATGTCCCCAGGCCTTACCTAGAATCTAATGGCTCCAAAGCAGGTGATTTAAACAATTTTCAAACGCCAAAGAAGCAGTTTATCTCCTTAAAGCATTTAGCAAACCTAATATCTGACCTGCTTAATTTAGACCAAATCTCTTTATTTTACCAATGATCTTGAAAACTCTTTATTTCCCAAAGGTGAACTAAAAG
This sequence comes from Homo sapiens, assembly GCF_000001405.40. Lineage (NCBI taxonomy): Eukaryota > Metazoa > Chordata > Mammalia > Primates > Hominidae > Homo > Homo sapiens. The sequence goes on along the minus strand of NC_000005.10, from coordinate 110,883,220 downwards.
GCATCACAGTTGTATTTTTCTGACAAAATATTTGATTTAAGCACTTATTGTTTTTAAGCCAATTAATCAGAACTCTTTCATATATAAACATTACACACATAACACATATAACAACACAGAGAGACAGAAGATCTAGTAATTGTAAGATTTTTCATTTGCAGTTTTTAAGTTTCTTTATTAGGTTACTGGATTCAGGGTGGTGTCCTTAGAAGAACAGAGCTAGGAAAACATGTAGTTTCTAGGGCCTAATAAGCAGTCACAGCTGGAAGGCAAAACAGATCCCAAAAAATTCTGGGAGTCATTTTCATACTGAATCCTGGATCCCCAAAAATGAAATGCTGAACAAGGCAGTGCAATGATTTTACCATGTGCTGTTGATCAGCCCATTCTGCAATCAGCCCATCCTCCATGGGAATCTTATCTCAGTGTGGGTCAGGATATTTCTATACTTTCTTGGTGGCCAAGAGCATGCTTCTCTGATCCAAACGTGGAAAGAGCAGAGTGTTCCCCCATAACTGTCACTTGCCATCCCTAAAGGTTTATTTCCTACCTACTTATTACACACCAAAGTTCTCTGATAATGTGAAGTAATTTCTGATGTCCCCACAACCCCCACCCCCTGCCCAAGTAAAAAACATCAAATACCACAATGAAAAATAAAACGGAGTCTTAGATGTTGAGGGAAATCTATCTACTTTCAATTCCTGGGGTTCCATGAGGAATATAGAGATTTTCTCTAAAATGTGGCACCGCCTTTGTTTTTCCCAAGGACATACGAGAGGAAATCCTCACCCAGTTTTTTGTTTCAGGGACCTGCAGCAAAGTTTGTAACTAACCAGTTTGCCAAGCTGGCTTGAACAGCAAGCTTATGGGGGTCCTAGGCCCGCATTCCATCCTATGGTACCCCTTTTTATGATGGAACAATGCAGAAAGACAAGCTTTTAGCACAAAGAATGCCAGATTTGCTACAGCTTAAGACTAGCCTCACAAATCCTTTCTTCCAATTAATCAAAACTTTGCGGAGGAGACAGTGATTTTTACCATTGCTACAACCAGTTTGCACAGAGAGAGAGGCCAGAATTCTGACTGGTAAGGAATCCTTACCCTTTTGCTGGCATGCCAGGTTTCTGGGTGACCTTCCCTGAGTGGCCGTAGCAACCCTGCTAGATGCTCCAGAGCCATGGGTCCCAAGCCACAACACAAAGGAAAATCATCTTTTTTGGTTTCATGGAACCATAGGCAATCTCTCAATTTTGTAAGTTGCCACCCAACCGACTACATAGGAGACCCAAATTAACATTTTCCATTCTAGCCAGGGCAAAATACGTGTGACAAAACATTAACCACTCTGCTTAGTGCCCAATATCAACTGGTTAGGCTTAAACTTGTTCCTGGTTGGGCTCCGTCATCTTTAGTCCACTCAAAGTGGATTAAATGAGTTTCAGCATGTGTTCTCTGGGCAAGATGGTCACCCTGAGTAACAGAAAAGATAGAAAAGGGAAAGGAGAAAAAGAGAGAGAAAACATTGCCTGTGTTGGGGTAGGTATAGCAGAGATCTCAGGGAGGCCAGAGAAAGACCTACCCACTGCAGCAACACTGATTTAAAGATCAGATGGCCACTTGTCAGTCATAAAAGGGATCTTTTCCAGCAGTCCCATCAGCTCTCAACTTTTCCCCTTTGGGGAGAAAAATGTTCCCCATGTCTCATTCCTATACATGTCTAATCCTGTCACCCATAGCCATCAGCAAAAAGTGCAAGGCAGATTAATCCAAAGAGAATAGCAGTTAACATCCCATAGTGCCAAATCCCTTTTTAACCAAGAGGGACTTTACTGAGGGGAGGGCCTGCAATCCAATTCCACCATTTACCCAAGTAAAATGTACCCCACTACTTACCCAAAGTCAGCCAATTGGTGTGAAGTCTTGTTTCCTTTGGATTGGGGTAGTAACTAAGCCAAAGGTTAGTAGACATTTTTTTAACCAATTAGTCGCTTAAGGTTTTTATTTGCCTTTCATAAAGTTTTTAAATAAAAATACTGAAAATTTTTTAAGAAGCTTCTGCAAATCAATAGGCATCCCTAGATGAGATTAATTTGGGAGCCCGTCTTTTCCTTTTCTGTTTTTTGTTTGCGGGTTTTTTTTTTTTTTCTTAGAGTCTCGCTCTCTTGCCCAGGCTGGAGTACAGTGGCACAATCTTGGGGAGCCCTTATTTTCAAATACACTTCAGTGCAGTGCTGTTCATTTGGAATGTTCCACTGTAAGTTATCTTTAGTAAGATTTTGCCATTTCTGTAAGACTTCATTGCTTCCTGGGCCGAATACTTATGCATGTTTAAGCCAGAAGGAACTCATTTCTTCAGAAATTAAGGATCCCATTTTTACCTCAAATATTGGCTTTACTCTCAGGTTACCTTGATCACCTCACACAGTGATATTTTTCCTGCCTGAGCACACAGTAAAAATGAAAACAAGAGGTTAGAACACAAAAATCTCTGCGAATTTCCATTGCCATTTACAACCAGTTTCTTTCTGACTCACTCAGATGTAAGAGGCCTCTAACTGGATCCAAGCCAGTTAATTACTGGAGCCAATCAGATCCTGGACCCAGTCCAGTTTCTGTCATGACTTCCAAACCCAGTTTGGATCAGAAATTTGTTCAAGGAAACTTGGATCAAAACACAAATCTGGCCCATGGTGACTCATGCCTGTAATCCCAGCACTTTGGAAGACTGAGGCGGGCAAATCACTTGAGGTCAGGAGTTCAAGACTAGCCTGGCCAAAATGGCAAAACCCTATCTCTACTAAAAATACAAAAAAAAAAAAAAAAAAAAGCCGGGCATGTTGGTGGGTGCCTGTAATCCCAGCTATTCAAGAGGCTAAGGCAGGAGAATTGCTTGAACCCAGGAGGCAGAAGTTGCAGAGAGCAAAGATCACACCACTGCCCTCCAGCCTGAGCAACAGAGTGACATCCCATTTCAAAAAACAAACAATAACCGCAGCAAAAATTAAAACACAAATCTGTGGAGCTTTGGAATCAGAGAATCCAAATACCAGGAGAATACCAGGCTCCCCAGCTGCTCTGGGAGAGAAAGGGACACAGTGGGCCTGGCGGGTAGCTTGCTTGGTTGCTCAGTGCTCTCGGGGGTCATTAGAAGCTCTACTTGGGATCCTACTTCTGATGCTGTCTGATGAAAGAAGAACTTCAGCAAAATTTAATTTAAAGGAGTTTAACTGAGCAATGAATGATTTGCGAATTGTGCAGCCTCCTAAGCCAGAGTATGCCCTGAGATTCCAGTGCAGCCACGTGGTAGAAGATTTATGGACAGAAAAAGGGAAGTGAGGTACAGAAAATGGAAATGAGGTACAGAAACAGCCAGATTGATTACAGCTCAGTGTTTGCCTTATTTGAACACGATCCAAACACTTGTCTACATTGATTGGCCAAACATCAGTTAGTGGCAGAAGTGTAGGCTATGGTCTGTTTACACCTCCGCTTGTTATAGTTCACAATGTACAGAGAAACCTTTAGGCCAAACTTAAATATGTAAGGAGGCAGCTTTAGGCTAAACTTGATTTAACAGTACTTAATAATATAGCCTAAAAATATGTAAAACAAAATTTGAGAGTCCTTCAGGGAGGAATACTGAAATCCACAATCATCATGGGCTCTTTTGACAAAGTGCTCTCAGTATCTAGGAGAAAAGCAAACAAACGAATCAGTGTACATAAGGAATACTTAAGCAACATTGTTGACAAACTTTTCTAAGTAGATACATGTTAGAACACTGCATGAACAATTACATATTACGTATTATTTACAAACACAAAAATTTCACAATAAATTGACCCTGTACAGTCAAAAAGCTGAAATCATATAGAGTATGTTCTCTAAAGTTAAAATGGAAATGAATAACAGTCTGGGTGCAGTGGCTTATTTCTGTAATCCCAGAACTTTGGGAGGCTGAGGTAGGCAGATCACTTGAGGTCAGGAGTTTGAGACTAGCCTGGCCAACGTGGCCAACCCTGTCTCTACTAAAAGTACAAAAATTAGCTGGGCATGGTTGCGCCCACCTATCGTCACAGCTACGCGAAAGGCTGAGACATGAGAATTGCTTGAACCCAGGAGGCAGAGATTACAGTAAACTGAGATCGCACCGCTGCCCTCCAGCCTGGGCAACACAGTGAAACTCATCTCAAAAAAAAAAAGAAATGAATAACAAAATCATAACTAAAATATTGCCGTATGTTTAAAAATTTTTAAATCTCTTCTATTTCATGGATTCAGTTTTAAAATACTGGCAGATGCAGGATGCAGAATCCACATACAATAATTAGTAGTATTTCTGTATAGCAACAGTGAGCAATGTGAAATAGAAATTTTAAAAAGTAATCCCATTTATAATATCCACAAATAAAATTAAAATGCTAGGAATTTATTTAACCAAAGAAGCAAAATTCTCTATAATGAAAATTATAAACTGATGAAAAAGATTGAAGAGGACAATAAAAAATGCAAAAATGTTCCAAGTTCAAGGGTTGGAAGAATCAATATTGTTAAAGTGTCCATACTACCCAAACCAATCTACAGATCCAATGCAATCTCTATCAAAATACCAATGTCATTTTTCAAAGAAATAGAAAATAATAATCCTAAAATTTATATGGAACCACCAAAGACCCAGAATGTCCAAAGCTATCTTAAACATAAAGGACAAAACTAGAGGGATCACATTACCTGACTTCAAATTATACTACAGGGCAACAGCAACCAAAACAACATATTACTGGCATAAAAACAGACACATAGATCAATGGAACAGAATAGAGAGACCAGAAACAAATCCATAAACTTAGAGTGAACTCATTTTAGACAGAAGGGCCAAGAACATACCCTGAGGAGAAGACAAGTCTGTTCAATAAATGGTGCTGGGAAAATATCCATATGCAAATAATGCATCACCATATGCAAAACTCAAATAATGAATCACCATATACAAAACTCAAATCAAAATGGATTAAAGGCTTAATCTAAGACCTCAAACTATGAAATTACTACAGGAAAACATTGGAGAAAATTTCCAGAAAGTTGGTCTGGGCAAAAATTTCTTGAGCAATACCCCATAAGCACTGGCAATCAAAGCAAAAATGGACAAATGGAATCACATCAAGTTAAAAACCTGTACTGTGTAGGAAGCAATCAATGAAGTGAAGAGACAACCCACTGAATGGGAGAAAACATTTGCCAAGTACCTATCTGACAAATGAATAATAACCTGAGTATATAAGGAGCTCAAACTCCTAATGCAGGAAAAAATTTAATAATCTAATCAAAATGGGCAAAAGATTTGAATAGACATTTCCCAAAAAAAGACATACAAATGGGAAACAGGTATGTGAAAACGTGCTCAACAGCACTGATCAACAGAGAAATGCAAATCAAAACTACAATGAGATATCATCTTATCCTAGTTAAAATGGTTTATCTCTGAAAGACAGACGATAACAAATGCTGGTGAGGCTGTAGATAAAAGGGAAGCCTTTTACAGTGTTGATGGAATGTAAATTAGTACAATTACTATGGGGAACAGTTTGGAGGTTCCTCAGGAAACTAAAAATACAGCTACCATGCAATACAGCAATCCCACTGCTGGGTACATACCCTAAAAAAGGAAATCAGTATATCAAAGAGATATCTGCACCCCCATGTTTGTTGCAGCACTGTTTACAATGGCTAAGATTTGGAAGCAACCTAAGCATCCATCAGTCCAGATGAATGGATAAAGAAAATGTGGTACATACGCACAATGGAGTACTATTCAGCCATAAAAATGATGTCCTGTCATTTGCAACAACATTAATAGAACTGGAGATCATTATGTTAAGTGAAATAAGCCAGGCACAGAGAGACAAAATTTTCCTGTTTTTACTTATTTGTGGGAACTAAAAATAAAAACAATTGAGCTCATGAACCTAGAGACTAGAGGATGGTTAACAAAGGCTGGAAAGGGTATTGGGGCCTGGAAAGACAGTAAGGTGAGGATAGTTAGTGGGTACAAAAAATAATAGAAAGAATGAATAAGCCTTATTATTTGATCACACAACAGGGTGACTATAGTCAATAATAACTTAATTGTACATTTTAAAATGACTAAAAGAGTGTACTTGGACTGTTTGTAACATGAAGGATAAGTGCTTACAGGGATAGATACCCCATTCTCCATGATGTGATTATTTCACATTGCATTCCTGTTTTAAAACATCTCACGTACCCCATAAATACATACACCTACTACGTACTCACAAAAAAATTAAAAATGAAAAACAATTTGAAAATACTGACAGAAATAAAAATGTACTTTTAATTTAATACAAATATTATATATTAATGCTTATGGGCATGAGCTAAGGCAGCACTTAGAATGATATCCATAACTTTAAATATATGTGTTAGAAGAAACTGAGAAATGCCTCCATCTGAAAAAATTATAAAAAGAATTTTAAAATAGAACCAAAGATTTTGGTAATGGGGGCGCAGCTTGCATTAGGCTAATCCTGACACAGATAACATTTATGAACTGTACACAAAATTTAAGACAAAAATTGATAACACTAAAGTGTGACCCAAATCAAGCCAAAATTGAGAAGCTTTGACCCTTGAAAGGAGGTAACTATTCTGAGTGAGATTCTAAAATATACAACTTTTGGACTTAAAGCACAAGGCAAATAATATTATAGGCAAATAATAAGAAAAATACTGGACAAATAATGGCTGGAATATCCCAAAATTTCATAAAAAAACATAAACTTACATATGTAATAATACCAAGCTCTTTTCAGGCAGGATAAATACAAAGAAGATGATGTGCTCATGATCTTCACAGTCAAATTGTTGAAAAGATGTCCACTGAGGAGGTCTACAGAAAAAAAGAAAAAGGGCTGGGTGTGGTGGCTCACAGCTATAATCCCAGCACTTTGAGAGGCGTAGGCGGGCAGATCAGTTGAGGCCAGGAGATTGAGACCAGCATGATGAAACTCTGTCTCTACAAAAAATTAAAAAAAAAAAAATAACCAGGCATGGTGACTTACACCTCTAATACCCCTGTGATGGTTGATGTTAAATGTCAACTTGATTGGATTGAAGGATGCAAAGCATTGTTTCTGGGTGTGTCTATGAGGATGTTGCCAAAGGAGAGTAACATTTGAATCAGTGAACTGGGAAAGGCAGACCCACCCTCAATCTGAGAGGATATCATCTAATCAGCTGCCAACATGGCAAGAATAAAAGCAGGCAGAAGAACGTGTGAAGACTAGACTGGCTTAGTCTTCCAGCCTACATCTTTCTCCCGTGTGAGATGCTTCCTGCCCTCAAGCATCGGATTCCAAGTTCTTCGGCTTTGGGACTCTCGGACCTTTGACCACAGACCAAAAGCTGCCTTGTCAGCTTCCCTGCCTTTGAGGTTTTGGGACTCGAACTGGTTCCTTGCTCCTCAGATTGCAGACGGCCTGTTGTGGGAACTCACCTCGTGATTGTGTGAGTCAATATTCCTTAATAAACTCCCCTTTATATATACATCTATCTTATTAGTTCTGTCCCTCTAGAGAACCCTAATACACCCCCTTACTTGGGAGGCTGAGGCACAAGAATCGCTTGAACCCAGGAGGCTGAGATTACACCACTGTACTCCAGCCTGGGTGACAGAGTGAGACTGTCAAGGAAGGAAGGGAGGGAGGGAGGGAGGCAGGAAGGAAGGAGGGAAGGAGGGAAGGAAGGAAGGAGGGAAGGAGGGAAGGAAGGAAGGAAGGAAGCAAAGGGAAGGGAAGGGAAGGGAAAGGAGGGAGGGAAGGAGGAAGGAAGGAAGGAAAAAGGAAGAAAGGGAGGAAAGAAGGAAGGAAAGGAGGGAGGAAGGAAGGAAAGAAGGAAGGAAGGAAGCAAGGAAAGAAGGAAGGAAGGAAGCAAGGAAAGAAGGAAGGAAGGAAAGGAAGGAAAACACAAAAAGAAAGAGGGAGGGAGGGAAGGAGGAAGGAAGGAAAGGAGGGAGGGAGGGAAGGAAGGAAGGGAAGGAAAGAAGGAAGGAAGGAAGGAAGGAAGGAGATTAACATTTGAACACATTACATACAGGAGAAAGTTGATATGAAGGAGAGTTAAGTTCTAGCCAGAAATAGTAGAGACCAGAAAATGGAGCATCTTTAAAATGCTACATGAAAAAAAAAGTGAACACTGAAATTATATGCAGTGAAATTATTCTTCAAAAATTGAAATAAAGACATTTTCAGAAATACTCAAAACTTCTCAAGTCCTCATTATTGTCATCTTAGTTGGTTACAGTTCATTGCCTGGTGGAGTAACACAAACTTTCATCCCTAAAGGATTGCTACATTAGCATTTTTAATTCATAGGTGTTTCAGTTTTTTCTTAATTTTTCTCACAAAACATGGAAGTAATAAGCGGTGGTCCAGATAATTTATGCAATCCAGACATATTTCTTCCTGCCCTTGTTGTGTAACAGCAATCTAGTATACTTTTTGCAGTTAGGGTTAATTACCCCAGTCAGTGAATAACTGCTTCTTTGCATATTGCTTCACTATCATGAGTAGTCCAAATTGGTCAAGTGGTGCTTCTTATTTTAGTGGAATAGTCACTTTCTATTTTAGTGGAATCAACATTATATTTCTTGATGGAAACATTACTTTCTTGGAAACTCAGAGCTCCAAACCAGCAGAGTCTAAAGTTGTTCCAGGACAAAAAACCACTGCAATGTCTAGTCCTTAACTCCAAGATCCTTAAATCCTTGTCATGGGAGAAGTAGGATAAAAATAGTCACTAATTCAGAAAATACACTTTATTATGGAGGATATAGCCCCAGCTCCTTAAAGAGTTTTCTCCAAGCCTTAGCACCATAATTGAGCTTTTAAAATGATATAGTATTTCGATATTATCTCAGGTTATCTGCTATAGAGTGACAAGGAACATGATAAGACAAATTAATCCCATGAGCATGGGCCGATTGCCAAATTGCAATTGCTGAAATATGAGTTTGATGGTTAGAAGAAATAAGATATTCTATAAGACTATAGATAATGGTTTTGGCAGAAATAATGTGGTCAAGGAAGGCAAGTCATTTCTGGAGTAAATATTTATTCCAATGAGAGCAAAGGCTGCTCCTTTTATGATGGAAATTGTCCAGTGTAATCAGTCTGCCATTGGTGGCTGACTGGTACCCCAGGTGAATGGCACCATATCAAGAGCTCATTGTTGGTCTTGGCTGTTGGCAGATTAGGCACTCAGCAGCAGCTCAGCCAAATCACCCTTTGTAAGTAGAAAATCATTTGACTAGTCCGTACATGGTTTCTAACCTTGCCTACATGGCCAGTTTGTTTGTAAGCCCATTTATCAAGATCCAGGTGGCTGACTGATGTCCACATGATAGACATCTTGTCCACCTGATTATTAAGCTAAATCTTTGTTCAGGTTACAACTTGGTGAGCATTTACATGAGACAAATATCTTCATATTCTGTGCTCATTTGAAACATTTCTTTCACATGGTATTTCTTCAAATCTCCTTTCATCATTTAATCAGTGACCTTCTTACCATTAGCCACTGCTCATGAGCCAATCAGTATAAATGAAAAGACAACTCTGATCATCTCTCTTTTCAGATAAAACAGATTAACCAGTGGGAGGAGAGGACTTCCCTTTATCACCGTCTTTCAGGGCCACCCATGAAAGAGACTATATACCACAATGGCAAATTTCAGCAGATGCCAGAATAGAATCCATCAACATCTATAAGCCTTTTCCAATATTTTTCTTTGTCCTATCATTGAGAGCTCCCCTTTTACACTAAGGCTCTAGAGGTTACTTAGTGGTCCAGCCAGCTTTGGCAGCTCCTGCAAACCTGCTCTGATAACATCGAAGTCATCTTCCTCCTCTCAACAGGCTGACAGGGCCAACAACAATGTCCCTGGGCCTATGCGCAGCAGTGGCTGGCACAGGTCCCCCATGTGCCAAGGCCTGTCTCCCTACCTGGCACTCACCATGCACCAGGGCCTGCCCTCTCCATCTGGCACTCCCTGCTTGTCCTATGCCAGCTCCAAGGCCATCGCCTTCATCCAAATGGCCCTCCTAGAGCAGCTGCCCTTACGGGCTGTTAAGAGGTGGGTGCTCGAGGTGCAGGGGTGGTGCTTCCTGGCGCAGGGCAGCCGTCCTGCCATCTATGGGCCCCTCTTGGGCAGACACTCATATGTCCTTCCAGAGGCCAGTGGTTGCCTCCAGGGATGGGGAAGGGAGGGTGGGTTTCATCTTGCCTTGAAGGCCCCTGGTCAGCCAATGTGACAGTGGCCCACATGCCCGGGACACCTGGGCACACTCTGGCGAAGAGGGAGGTGGGCTGTGTCCAGATCCCACCTTCTCCTTCTCCTGGAGCACGTGGGAGATCTACAGGGCTCCCTCCTCCCAGCAGGTGCCACTTGGCAGCATGGGCTCCCTTTTGGCTGTGGTTCTGACCTTCCTGGGTCACACTGTCACTGACCACTCAGGGCTCTCCCTTAGCCTGCTTTGCTGCATCTCCAAGGAGGCAGTGGCTGGAGGTGGCTGGAGGACATCACCTTGCAGCAAAATGGGCCACCCTGGGTCCTGCAGCTCTGCCCTCTGTGGGGCACATAGTCCCAGGAAGCAGGGGCTTCCCCGGTCATATGTGAGGAAACTGAGGCCCGGCAAGGGCAGGCTGGGACCAGGCCTCAGCGTGGTGGTAACTGAAGACGTGTGGCCGGCTGCCTCGCAGGGCCAGGCCCAAGTAGGAGCGCCTTGCACTTGCCCTGGGCCAGATCCCACACCAGCGGCATCACGGCGTCCTCAGGGCGTCACCTCATCCCGGCCATGCAGTCCCCAGCACAGACTCAGTTGTTTTCTCTTGGCAGATGTGGTCCAAGTGGAAGACTCCTGCCCAGGCCACTGGGCCACAGAAGGGTGGAGGCTCAGCGATCTGGCCCCAGCAAGATCTTCCCGCCTCGCAGGTCACAGAGAGTCGGGAGCCTGTTGGGGTTTCACGAGGTCAGAAGGCAGGCTGTCCTTGTGGGTGTGACAAGGGGGAAACTGAGACCCAAAGGGTGGCAGCTGTGCTGCAAGGTGGGGGCAAAGGTACCTGCCTTTGGGAATATTTAAGCACTGAGATCACAAATACTGTTGGTCAGCACTGGAGAGACAGACAGAAGAGCAGGAAGACAGCCCTTCCTTGTCTTGAGAGGAAGCTGTGAAGGGGCCAGATAGGGTCACCACCAGGCTCCCTGGCTCAGGGCAGGAAGGTGTATTTAAAAAAGAAAGAAAGGAATAAGAAAAGAAAATAAAAAGAGAAAGGAAAAGTATGAGAGGAGTCAAGCAGCAGGGTAGCATCTGGAGACATGAAGTCCTGATAACATAATTTTCTTTCTCCAAGTTCTCAAGTGCATTTAGAAACAACCAACACCACTATGCTGTTTACTCCTATTAAAATATACAACAGTAACAATAATTCGGTTTTCCAACTTTACAATGTATAAGTGAATGACAGAGCTTTAGGAGGCTGGACAGCTGTTTAATAAGTTTTCACTGGCCCAGCAACAGACACTTCTGTACTCTTATTTCTCCAGCTTTTCTTACAATTGTATTAGGGAATAACTCATTGATTCTATAACATTTATTGTGATATTGCTTTGTGATTAAACTCTAACACAGAGAAAAGCTACAAATTAGAAACATCAGGAATGAATGAAGGGACATCACTGAAGAGTTTACAAACATTAAAAAGATAGTAAGAAAATGTTGTAAACAACATTCTACCAATATACTTGAAAACGTAAATTAAATGGACAAATTCCTTGAGAAGTGCAACTACTGAAACTGCTACAATAAGAAATAAACAATCTGAACGTCCCTATATCTGCTAAATAAATTGAACTCAAAACCATGCCCGGAAGTAACCTCCAGGATCAGACAGTTTTACTGGTGAATTCTGTCACACAATAACAACCTAACACAAATATTGAGAAACAAATAATAACAGTGTTACTTAAACTCTCAGAAAATAGAGTAGGTTGCAAAACTTGCACATTAATTTTATAGTGTATATAGTATATTTATAAAAGAGAAAAGAAGAAAAAATAACTTTTTTTCCTGAATTATTTGAGAATAAGATACAGACCTGATGTCCCACAGACTTCAGGCTACTGACCAAGAATGCTGACAATTAAAGAAGTCCCCATGCTGATGGGGTAACTGACCCTGAAGTAGGCTGCTTTTACATAATGGGAATGAGAAAGAATATGTTTTGTGTGACCACATAATCTACTTGGGTTCCTCTTTATACCCCCATGCTCGATTTTGATGGTAAACAGGCAAGTGCAGTAGTCACAGCCCAAGAAGGATGTTATAGCAGGGACTTAGACACACCCCAATTAATAGGATGGATAAGGTGAACAGAATTTTTTTAATGACTCAAAAAAACAGCATTTGAGAGTTAACTGAGAATTACTGTAGGCAGGAAATATGCATCAATGAAATCTTACTAAATTTGCAAATGGGAAAACTACCTTCTTAAAAGAATCAGAATAAATCACATTCAAAATTGTCACCAAGAAGTACATTCATGTCCTTGGGCTTAGTATTGGCCATAGATCATTGGTCTGAACATCCGTGGATTTGAATCATACTCTAGGACATTTATGTAAGATCAGATTAAATGTGCTAATGAGATATTTTTTAAGCAATAGTTTAATTAGCTTGTATTTAAACCTTTAATTCCAGATGTATTAGTGTAACTCATCAATTCCTTAATGCCATTCATTTAATATATTTGCCAGTTTTTTCTTCATATAGCGTGCTATCCCATGTGCCACTGTGAGCTTTATGCCAGTTTAACTGAACAATTTACGACATGTCTTAATGGTCTAAACGTGGAATTGTTGGAGAGTTTTCATCACATGTAGTAACAGGTTTTGGATTCTAGATTGCGTTTTTTGCATGGCAGTAATATTCTTTGGCACTACCAATGCTAAGTGCCTTTAAGAAAATCAAAGGAGTCATGTCTTATAAGAAGGTTAGACTACTAGTAATATATGACATCACCATATTGGCAAGATGATAGAATGCATCTCCAAGGAATTTTCTTACAGAAGAAATTTTAAGTAGCGTTCTAATGCCATATACTGTCTGACAGTGACATCATTGGAACCTCTTCACAGTTCAATTTCTATCCCATCAGAAGTTTGTTATGAGACAGGATTAAAGATCATGTCCTGATAAGTTTTAGATAAAAATAAGATAGCATCCAAACACTATCACCAAATGTGAGGAAAAGTCTCCCACAATTCTCTGTCTAGACAATTAAGACGTGTCATAAATTATTTAGTAGATTCTTACAGTTGTTTATGTAAGGTGGTTAAGTCTCAGCACCAGCTACTCCTTCATGGTCAAAAATAAAATGATTGGAGTAGAATCTTTGAACATTGAATATAGGGTTACATTGTAATGTCTCTGGAAATTATTTCCTTTTAAGAATGTAGAAAACGTTCAATGGGCTTTCGTTAAAATATTTTAATTCTTTAAAATATAGAATTAAATGTATGACTCTTTAGTGATATATTATCTTACAAGCTACTTTATTATTATACAAAATAAAATTCTTGTTTTGTGATAGAAATTATACACATAACAGAATGCTACAGTTTAAATTAAAATCTTCAAATTAGTTTAATAAACTTTGTCAAAATACTCTTTATTCTTGTAGTATTAAACTAGGTGCTGAGAAGCATAAGAAAAATATATCATTTATCTCCAGCACATTCATGTTTCAACAGGCATGTATCACCTAAAATTTACCAAATTCTAGAGGAACCTTGCTGCCTAAACAAACAAATTTGCCGTATTTCCAAATTGTCTCAGTTCTGTCAATAGCAAAAGGGCTCAAATCTCAGTGATTGCTTTATTTCTTCCTTCTCCTTCCTAGTCTTTATTTAGTTAACATATTTGTCTCTTTTCTCCTCCAAACTCTCTATCCTTCTCTTTCTACCCTATCCATAAGTTTTAAAACATCACGTCTATGTTGAGACTCTCATTCTTGGACTTCTTGTCTTCAATTCCATCTTACCCAATCTACCAGACGAATTATCGTTAATGGTTTATTTCATATTATTCCATTGTTTCAGCACCTCTGACTTGCCTATGGCATTAGATCCAGAATCTCAGTGTCTGCTCATCACCTCATCTCTATCTCATCCCAAACTCTCCCGAGGCTCCTTTCTGTTCCTTCTATTCACTCAGCTATAGGTCTTTTGCTCATTCTGGTTTCCAGATCTCAAATTCTATCTCCACCTCTCTGCAACTATCTGAATCTTTCTCATCTTCTAGAGCACAACTGTAGCCTCATTATTCATTTTTGTCTAATCTCACCAGTCCATGTCTATTTTGTTCTTCTCTGAATCTATATCAGTTAGATTATCTCTCTATGTCTAGACAACCATTTAAATTGGTTACTTAATACATATTAAATGAGTACTACCCAGTCCCTAAACACAAGTAGTTCATAGTCTATAAATCTTTAAGTAAAGCACCAATTTTAAAAATAATTTCCAGATAAGGATAATCTGAATGAATATTAATACTCAGAGTAGGATCAGTATAATTCACAGCCTCAACTTATTTACATAACATTGAAATTTCTTTTTAGCATCTCAAATAATCCAACAAACTTATCTTAAATCTCACTTTTCTTATTTGCAATCTGTGTACGATTCTTTTTTATCATTTTTTCCAAACTACAATGGCAGCCATATAACCAAATAGGGTGAGGCATTTTGGAGGAATTAAAAAAAAGGTAGTATTTTCCAGACCAAATTGTAATCCTTGTAATGAATGAATGATCAGTGGTTGACTACATAGTACCCATGGTCTACCACAGAATTTATGATCACTTGTATTACAATCATCAACTTTTTTTCTAAACACTTGAACATTAAGCTCAACAAAGATACTCAAATCTCTAAGACTTCATGAGTATATTTAACGTTTAGAACTGTCTTTGTCTCTTAGTGGGTTAAATATTTAATAACATAGTAGTGAAAATATTCAGCTAATATTAATTGTGCACTCACCATTTTCCAGACATTCTTTTAAGTGCTTATTTTTATTAACTCATGCAGTTATCACAATAGTCCTACAATTTAAGTGTTTTTATTATTATCCTCATTTTAAAGATGAGAATGCTGGAGGCAGTGAGGCCTTAAATTTTTGCCTAAGGTCACACAGCTAGTAATGGAAAAGTTGGGATTGAAAATCGAGCAGTTTAATGAATTGATTCAGTAACTTCGATGACTCTAGAATAATTCAAAATAAATATTCTATTTGTTCAGTAAAAAATCATTGGTCTCTAATTATATTACATTGCTGCTCATTATAGTCTTTACTTTGTAACATTCATTTTGCCTTTGTCTTACTAGGGAAAAGTTGGAGGCAGTCACTTATATTCTTTTATGGCAAATTGGATTGCTTAAAGATGTTATATTTTTTTTGAAGGATGAAGCTGTATTTAATGTTTAAAATTAGGTCGATTAAGGCAGAAGGAAAGAAATAACTGTTTATAGAACTTTCATGTTATTATGGGCAAATAAGTTAGAATGTCTGAGACTACAGAGATGTAGGCTCCATTTTATAGACCACAGTGAAAATTATCTATTGAAATACTTCATTCCCATATTCCTCTTATGGGTTAATTATGAGTCCTTGATAGTTCTTTGAAAGGGCCTGAGTAACAGAAAGGTCAATTAATAGTATCAAATTCTAGTCAGACTTATTTCTCTAGTATTCAGAAAAAAGTTCCAAATGATGTCTCTGCCATAAGCAGATTAAAAATGCATCTTGTATTGTATTCTGTTAAGCAATCATACCTTTACTTTTTGCTCCATTCTACGTTCCTATAGGGAATTGAGTGGAATGTGAGCTATTTAATATGAGACACTTAGCAGGCTCATTTTTCTAGTTTGAACTCATTTGTCTAAATTACATTAGAATCTAGTAAAAGACTTGATAACATTTTGATATAACCTCCAAATAAAATATACAAAATGAAAGTTGATAATTATAGAGCTATGTGCTCTTGCTACTCTTTATATTTGTGATGATAAAGGCAGAAGCTAAATATTATTTTGCTGTCTTTTATGGTCCTGCTTGCCTTATTACCATAAGATATAGTGTTATGTGATACCAGTTTTCAGGATTTAAATAGCACTTAAATATGTACTTAACCTAGTTTAAATGACAAATAATGAAATAAGCCACCACTAGCAAATATTTTTATGAAAAAATTAAGAATCTATGTTCTTGAAAAGACATTGATTCAGATTTTCATGCTCCATGACAAATGAAGCACATTTTTTTTTCTTTTTTTCTTTTTTGAGACGGAGTCTTGCTCTGTCGCCCAGGATGGAGTGCAGTGGCGCGATCTCGGCTCACTGCAAGGTCCGCCTTCCGGGTTCACGCCATTCTCCTGCCTCAGCCTCCCGAATAGCTGGGACTACAGGCGCCCGCCACCGCGCCCGGCTAATTTTTACTATTTTTGGGAGAGACGGGGTTTCACCGTTTTAGCCAGGATGGTCTCGATCTCCTGACCTCGTGATCTGCCCGCCTCGGCCTCCCAAACTGCTGGGATTACAGGCGTGAGCCACTGCGCCCGGCCAAATGAAGCACATTTATTAATCCTCCCTCTTGAATCCCACTGCAATGAGCATGAAAATGCTCTGAAGGGAATAAATCCATAAAATAATCAAAAACAAAACATAGAGCATCAATAGTCTGAAGAAGTTGAAGGCATAAAGCAAATTGGGCAGATGTTCCTTGTATGAGCAGAGATGAAAACCAATCTGTGTCGTGGAGGGATCACAAACAATTGACAAATGTGATGAGTAGGATTGTGCTTTGTGACAGTGAAAGTAATTATTTAAAAGACCATATGCTGAACTATGACATCCTGAATCCAGTCCACCACTCCCATCCTTGTGTGTATACAGAGAAGACAGATGTGGCAATAACATAGAAGTGGAGATACATCTATAAGGAGGGCTAGACTCCCAAATGTGAGCAATAGCGATCCCAAACGAACTCCTTTAATTTTAGCATGAAAATAGATGAAGATTGCTAAGAAATAGCTGCTTTAAACTGTCCATGTTATTATGCTATTATCTCTTGGCTTCAAATTTACCAATCTATACCCTGTTGTGCTGTCATAGAACTAGGACTCTGCAATCCACATTTCTCCTTTGTTGTCATATTCCCTATAGGCTCAGCCAGTAGGGGGCACAAAAGGGAGATTCCATGGCTGTTCTTGGCAGTATCATCAGAGCAGCACTTCCTTACCTGGACAGCAGCAGCATTTTATTCCAGTAGTAGCTGTTGATTCTAGTTTGTAGTTTTTCCAACACAGAATTAGCTTTATTGTGTCCCCTCGGCCTTTAACACCAGCTGTGCTGAATCTCATCCTCGAAGATTTTGGGTCTTGGCTTTGCGTGGCCTTTCCTCTGAGTTCTAAAGCACCAGAACAAGCCGAGGAATGTTCCTCCTCAAAGGTCTGAGTCCCAGCTCCACAGGTCCTTCCATCCTCCTAAGGCATCTGTGCCAGCTGAGCAGTGCTTGTTCCTCAGAAGTGTATGCCTTAGTGCCACAGGACCCACCCTCCAAACTTCTAAGTTGTAACTATTCCAACTTTTCCCCCTTTATCCCTGCCACCCTACTTGTCATAACTGCTAGTGACATTATTACCTTTTTACCTTCTCAGTTCTCTAATACCTAGTTAATAATTCTTGATGTTAAATACTCTTTGTTAAAATAAATGAGGCTGTTATCGTCTCCTGATTTGACCCTGACTAGTATTGAAATAAACTCTACCTGCGAAACTAATTTCAAAGCCAATGCTCCCAATCAGGGTGGAAGCTCGCTGGCAAAGCAGGCATATATAATTGTGGAGGAAACAACACTAAGAAGCCTAATCATTCATTCATCAATAAAACAAAAAGAAAACAAGAACCATGAGTCATCTGGGAAAAAATGCAGCACAAAATATAAAATTCAAGATAAACAGATGGATTAAGTAACACTTGGGAAAGTGGAGACATATTGAAATAGAAGAGAATGCTTAAAATAGTTATATATGTTTTGTACCATATAAAATATGTGCAAAGATATTACAGCCATATAAAAAAGCCACTTGAAAAAGAAGAAACTTAGAAGAAAATAAAGCATTTTTGAAGATGGAAAGTACATGTAAGTGTAATATTTTAAAAGTCATCAACACTCAGAATACACTTATTTAAATTTTAAAACTTTATAGACTTTCAGAACACCAAAGACAAAATAAGATAATCTCAAACTCAGTCAGAGCCTAAAAAAATCATCTGAAAAATAATAGGAATTGGACTTTTCCTCAACATGAATGCTACAAGAAAATAGATAACTGCCTTCAAAGATGGAAAGAAAAAAATCAACTTTGAATTTTCTACTTAATCAAAAAGTCAACAGATTGTCAAGGTAAAATAAAGCTTTTCCAGATGTGTAAGAAAGTGAGAAAGTTTTCTACAACGCACCTTTCTTAAAAAACACTTAAGGATTATTGAGGTAAAATGAAAAAGAGGCATTTAAAAGAAAGAAGAAATCCAAGGAAAGATAAACCTAAATTGTAAATAAAAGCAAAAGAAAGTTTAGAAAGCTTTAGAGAAGTCTAAGGGAGCTATCCTAGAGTTATAAGAAGGCCACAGAGTTCCAAGAAGATTGTCTAAGAAAATGGATCCCGTTACACACATTTTGTGAATAGGAAGCTGAAGGATCTCAGCATTCAAATGAAGTCAGATTTTTCTTAACAAGAAAATAGAAATCAAATAAATACAAAGTATACTAAAAGCTAATATAAGAAAGCCATGCTCCCAATATGAAGCAAATTTAAATGTGGTCTGGTTTTGAGTAGTTGATCACCAGAGTGAAGGTGGAATCAGCAGACCACAGGCTTGCAGCTTTTTCCTTGAGGTGCACGGGGTTAATACTATGATTTTTTGTTGTTGTTGTTGTTTTGTTAAATACAATCACATATTTTCTTCTTAAGTTATTGGTTTATAGGTTTTAGAATCCGCCTAGACAAGCATAGTAAATGTAAATATAGCTACAAGACATAAGGTAAATTTTATACATCTTGAAAATATAAAAGTAATTCTAGGTTTGGCAACAGTTATAAGGTGCAAGGCAAAGAGGAAAAGGTGGGAGAAGATTACATGATTGTCATTCTCTTACACACTGTAAATTTAAGAGCTACTCTAAAGCTGAAGATAAATATGCTCCCATTTTCTGCTTCTAAGTATGGCTGTGCCACTAGCACCTGCCAGTGGAATGTGGAGAGTGATGTGTGTGTTATTATACTTCCATGCCAAGGGTTTTAAGAGGTGGATGTGGCTTTTTTTTACACTCTATATTTCCTTCTACTAGCTAGATGCAGAGGATAGTAAAGATCTCCAGGAAGACAGAGCCGCAAAAGCAATAAATAACTTTTAATTTACTATGCCAGTGAATAAAACAACTTTCTCAGCTACCTGAGAGGCTGAGGTGGGAAGATTTCTTGAGCCCAGGAGGTTGAGGCTTCAGTGAGCTATGATTACAGCACTGCATTCCAGCTTGGGAAACAGAGTGAGGCCCTATCTCTTTAAAAAAATGGAAGCTAAAACATTTCATAATTTCTAATGGAAAGTCAATAGGTATTCTAATATCTACTTCATTGTGCTCCAAAATGTATTATGTTCTAAGCACATGGGGAATAAAATAAAACCAACCATGTTAGAAAAAAATACGTATTTCAAAAGTCTAAGCAGCACAGTAATGTTCCATATAATGAATCATGTTTTATAGCTTTATATAAATATATAAAAATCATATACATATTATATATAATCATAAAAATTATTTAAATGCACATACCTCTATATCCTTTTGTCATCTTACTATATTTCCAAAACCAGTTTGTGTATTGCTTCAGAGGGTATTTAATTGCTTTTTTATAAAAAAGAAATTGAATCTTAAAGGGAAGGCTTATTACTTGTCTAAGGTCACGTTTTTATTAATAATAGTAAACACAAAATTGGAACCATGATATTCAGACTCCTAATTATAATTTCTAATAAAGTTTGTGCTTTATTAGTAGTACTAGTTATGGTTTTAATGTGGTTATTGCGTAAAAGATAAATGTTGTTATGGCTTTATAACTGAAGCCATGATAGTGAATGAGACTGCACAGGGTGAATGTATAAAATGAGACAAAAAGAAGACCCAAAACATGATCTTCAGGAAGGCAAACATATAAGGAGAGGCAGAACAAGCTGAAAATTATGAAGAAGTGGCTGATGAAGTAGAAAACATACCAGGGGAGTGAGTGAAATGTCACAGAAGCCAAAGGACGGGACCATTTTATTAAAACAATTAAGTGATCCAAAGGGTTCAATTATGTTAAAAGAAAAATGTCCATTTGATTTAGGAACAAGTAGATCATTGGTGATTTTGGCAAAAGAAACTTCAGTGAGCTGGCAGAAGCAGTGGTGGACTTCAGTGAATTGAAGAGTGGTTTGAAGAGGACATGGTTTGAAGAGTTATTGTTGATAAGAATTTTGTCTTTGAAGAAAGGGAAATGATGCGGGAAGTAGCTAGAGGAGAATGTAGGGTCATGGAAAGATTTGTTTTTGTGTTTTATTATAAAATAGTAAAAACAAACATGTTTAAGTGTTGATAAGAAGAAACTAGCAAACAGGAAGAAGTTGGAGACAGTAAAGAAAGGTTACAATCAGCGACTGGGGTATCCGGGTGAGGGCATTGAGAATATAGTTAGGAGTACATCTTTATAAATAGAGGAGTGTCTCACTTCTACCAACAAGAGGGAAGGAAGAAAGGATAGTATGGATTCAAGTGAACGTGTAAGTTTGGTGGGGAGAAGAGTTTGCATCAGATGACTTTTATTAATTTTGAGAAATAACAGAGAAGATATAAAGGGACTAACAATTTGAATCAAATGGAGACCACAGAACATGAAAACAATAACTTACTTGGGAAACCTAGAAGAAGTCCCAGGCAGCATCAACAATCCAGCTAAAGCTGGAGACCATGAATTTAAAGAGTCTTAAGCTGCATAGTTTTGTGATTTTCTCCGGCAGCAATAAGCAAATATGTAGTTGGTACAGGATCAGAATCTTTAAAATAAATAAAAGCACACACAGAAAATGGACTGCCTATTGACATGTGCAAACACATATGAAATTCAAGATAATTGGAAGGCTTTCAAAAATATCTCCATAGCTCCTAACACTAAACTTTGGGGTTACTACCTAAGAAATAGGTTTAGTCATGTCAGGCATGCCCTAAGCTATTGGAATTCCATTTATATAACCATTCTGAGCAACTGAATTAGAAACTAAAATCTATAGCTACCAGACTGATTCTACAATCACATGGCACCTATGAAAAGAAAACTTGTCTTTCTTCATAATGAATGATTAATTTTGTAAATGTGCTGTGAAAATTCTGGCAAAGCACTGTGCTTTGGAAGTAGGAAAGTTGCTAAAGCTATGGGCCACATTAATTGGTTCCACTCCTTAATGCTTTAGATTTTTCAGATTTACATATGCCAACACTTTTTAAAATTTAAAATTTGACCTAAAACAAACAAAAAAGTTGTGTTCAAAATTTAACACAACATTTAACACCATGTTAGTATTTTTAATTTTTTTTTAGATGGAGTCTTGCTCTGTTGCCCAGGCTGGAGTGCAGTGGCACAATCTTGGCTCACTGCAACCTCTGCCTCCTGGGTTCCAATGATACTCCTGCCTCAGCCTCCAGAGTAGCTGAGATTACTGGTGCCTGCCACCATGCCTGGCTAACTTTTGTATTTTTAGTAGAGACGGGGTTTCACCATGTTGGTCAGGATGGTCTCGAACTCCTGATCTCGCTATCTGCACACCTCAGCCCCCAAAGTGCTGGGATTACAGGCATGAGCCACCGCGGCCAGCCAGTATTTTCAACACTTAACACGGTTACTCACTCCTTCCTTGCACCTCATTGTTCACTTGGCTTCCAAGATAACCACTTATAGATTCCTTCTACTTGGCTGTTTTTCTTTTCTTAGTTTGATTCTGCTTATCTTCCTGTCCTCTACATCTGGATACTTTTTCTGCATTTACTACCTAGGGGAACTCTTCCAATTTCATGGCTATAAAAATATCATCTATGTGCTGTTTACTCCCAATTTATACCTTTAGCCTAGACTTCTCTTTTGAGTTCAAACTCATATATCCAATTATGTACTTGACACCTCTACATATATGTCTGACAGGCACCCCAAACTTGTCCAGAAATTAGCTTTTGACTCCTCTCTTCCACCACCACTACTCTCATATAAATTCTTACTATATATTTCTCCATCTCATTTAATAGAAACTCTATCCTCCCATGTTTCTTACACCAAAGATGCTTGGGACATCCAGGCCTCTGCACTTTATCTCCCACCCTTATCCAATCAATCAGCACATCCTGTTAACTATGCCCATCAAAACATATTTCTAATTCATTCACTTCTTACTACCTTCACTGATATTACCCACGGATAAGGCAAGGTTCCTTCCAATTTTTGCTGTTACAAACAAAGCTATAATGAAACACTCTTGAACAAGGCTCCGTCCACATACATTGGTGTTTCTCTGAGGTAAGTAACTAGTAGGGTAAATACCTTATTTAAATAGATGTGGTATGATTGCCCTTTAGAAAGTTTATACAATTTGCACACTGTCCAGGGGTATGTGGGAAAAGACTAATGTTAAAATATCTTCCTGTGTCTCCTAAGATGGGTGAAAGCAGAAAAGGGAATGGGGAGAATGTTAGACTAGAAAAATGGGTAGGAGTAGAATAGAAATCTGATGTTATTTTCAGATCAAAGACTGTCATTCTTCAATACATAATGAGGTGCTGGATGTGGAAGATAAAAACTATCATGGATAGAAATGGAGAAAGGATTGGTTTCCAAGATGTTTCAACCAGAGGCATTTCCAAGACCTACTTAAATTTGGATATGTTTTGTGCTTTCACCTATATCTGATATTGTAGGTTAAAATGTACCCCAGTAATGGAACATCACACACCAGGGCCTGTTGGGGGGTGGGGAGCTGGGGGAGGGATAGCATTAGGAGAAATACCTAATGTAAATGATGAGTTGATGGATGCAGCAAACCAACATGGCCCATGTATACCTATGTATCAAACCTGCATGTTGTGCACACATACCCTAGAACTTAAAGTATAATTTAAAAATACATTTCAATTATAAAAATAATAATCAATAAAACATTTCAAGCATGAAAAAAATGTACCCCAGTAATAATTTGCTCCATCACTTATAATTTATTAGACAGGCAAGCTGTATGGTCAAGTTGAGTGCAAAAGTTTTGCCTGCATATAGATTTAAAAATATTGACAAGACATTTCTAGGCTATCATCAGTAAGAGAAAAAGAGGTTGTTAGAAGTAATTTAGTGGAGAATAAATGGCTTACCCAATAGAATAAATAAGATCATCATAATCATTATCCTCCTGACCATAGGTATACAATTCACTTATTTTAATCATGACCTTACAGAATTAATGTTGCCAATCTGCCCTACCCCTAAGGCATATATTTAATGTTTATTGCATTTGATCTTGAAGGTAATTATATAGAGAAATACAGTATATCCTGAAATGTTCTGGTTTGGAAGTAAGAATGTACCCATGTGGTGAACATATTCATGTTAGAGAGGGGAAATGTAGAGGGTGAATGTAGCATACCTGATATGCTTCTTAAGAAAATATTAATCAGAGAGTGTGCCTTATCAGGAGTGGGGAAAAAAGAAGTATCAAAGGCTCCACTAAGACTGAAAAACAAAGAGACAGTGCTCATGCACTGTCTTGAGACCTAGCTCTGGCTTGGTCTTTGGTTCTTTTGGTAAGCCAGTATAAGGGAAACTACTGGCCTTTCATGCCAGAGAGAAGAGCCAGAACAGGTCATCATGTGACTAATACAATATATTTCTCTCCTCCTCCAAGTTTAAATAGTAGAGATTCCCTGAACAAAATCCAAATGAGTAGAGGGAAGGAAATGAGATATTTGGGCAGTGGGGAGGGGGTAGCAGAAATATTATAACTGTTTGAGTTCTTACTTGTTTAATACATTTTAAAATATATATTATATGTTATGCTGTGGGTGAAGATTCCCATTTGGATCAAATATGAAGACTGCAAAGGATAGACTGTAAGCTACCTATTGGGAAGTAACTAGATCATCCCACCCTGTGCTAAGCTAGGCCTTAGCAATGGTAAAACACCTTAGAAAGGTCAAACTACTGCAGGTTCGAGCCTGACTAAATGCAAGTGCCAAAAGACAAACTATATGTCCCTATATACAGCTATCTTCAGGTATATGAGCTCCAAACCAGTCCTGGCCATACCACGAAGTATAATGTCCTGGATAAATCAGGATACAACCTACCTAAATCTATCTAATCAAATGCCAAGTGACCCTGAAACAATCTTGTGGCCCTGAAGTTAAGGAGTCTTCCTTGTTTCATAAGCCTGTCTTAGAGCAATATAGAACTCTAGCCATGATTCACTGGATTTGCCCAGGGAAATTACAGACAAGTAGGATAGTTCCAGAGATCTGCCAAAAGAGAAAAAGCCAACACATAGGACCACAAGATATTAAATTTTTCTGTTAGCAAAATGAACATCATTTCAAGCACTGCTCCATAGAATACCTAGAATACCACATCAAATGAAGTACTATTTCCCAGTTCCCATCATTATCAGTATTCTCTTTATATACTACCTCCCCTTCCTGTAGTACAGCCGACATTTTAATTCCTCCATAAAGAGTAGTTTTCCCTGCTTGTCCCAGCAGGAATTACCACCAAGGCTTGAGAGAACTCTGGAAGAAATGTGAATCAGTCTGTTAGCACTGACTTGAGAAACTATGTGATTAAAATAGTATAAATAGCAGTTGAATCCTCTGTATAATTCCTCTGGGTTTATTCAGGGACATGATATTCTAGGCCTTTGACAAAGACAATAAATCTCTCTCACTATTGTGCTTCCACAGCAACTGTATACCATAATTGTGCCATTTTTTACAATCTGCTTTATTCTCCCTTACTTTTTTGGTCCAATTATTTTGCTCTGTAGATTATTCTACAGAGTAGATGCCTGATTCATCTTTATGATGATATTGTCTTTCCCAGAGATAATAAAGGAACCACAATAACTATGCATTCAGATATCCTGGGCTTTTGTCCTGATTCCTTATTTAACTAGCTAGTCATCATTGGGCAAATCTCTTCACTGCTTCGTGACACGTATTTTCTTCACCTGTAAGATGAAGTGGTTGAACTAGATGATCTAAATTATTTTTACCAGCACCACCTTCTAAGATTTAAATTCTTCAGTATAAATGTTTTTCAATCAACTGGTTCTTTACTATATGTTAGCTGACAGCAATTTTTCTACACCCATATATGCTACCATCCTTCTATTCTCAATTTAATTTAAAAAATTAGCTAACAATAGAAACAGGGATATTATTTTTTTAATTATACTTTAAGTTCTGGGGTACATGTGCATAATGTGCAGGTTTGTTACATAGGTATACATGTGTCATGGTGGTTTGCTGCACCCACCAACTTGTCATCTACATTAGGTATTTCTCCTAATGCTAACCCTCCCCTATCCCCTACAGGCCCCGGTGTGTGATGTTCCCCTCCCTGTGTCCATGTGTTCTCATTGTTCAACTCCTACTTATGAGTGAGAACATGTGGTGTTCAGTTTTCCATTCTTGTGTTAGTTTACTGAGAATGATGGTTTCCAGCTTCATCCATGTCCCTGCAAAGGGCATGAACTCATCCTTTTTATGGCTGCATAGTATTCCATGGTGTATATGTGCCACATTTTCTTTATCTAGTCTATCATTGATGGGCATTTGGATTGGTTCCAAGTCTTCGCTATTGTGAACAGTACCGCAATAAACATATGTGTGCCTGTGGTCTTTATAGTATAATGATTTATAATCCTTTGGGTATATACCCAGCAATGATATTGCTGGGTCGAATGGTATTTCCGGTTCTAGATCCTTGAGGAATCACCACACTGTCTTCCACAATGGTTGAACTAATTTACATTCCCACCAACAATGTAAAAGGGTTCGTATTTCTCCACATCCTCTCCAGCATCTGTTGTTCCCTGACTTTTTAATGATCACCATTCTAACTGGTGTGAGATGGTATCTCATTGTGGTTTTGATTTGCATTTCTCTAATGACCAGTGATGATGAGCCTTTTTTCATGTTTCTTGGCCACATAAATTTCTTCTTTTGGGAAGTGTCTGTTCATATCCTTCACCCACTTTTTGATGGGATTGTTTGTTTTTTTTCTTGTAAATTTGTTTAAGTTCTTCATAGATTCTGGGTATTAGCCCTTTTTCAGATGGATAGATTGCAAAAATTTTCTCCCATTCTGTAGATTGCCTGTTCACTCTGGTGATAGTTTCTTTTGCTGTGCAGAAGCTCTTTAGTTTAATGGGAGAAAATTTTTGCAAAGGTATAGATCAGTAAACATTTATTCTTTTTTTTAAAAAAAAGCCAAGACTATAAAGAAGATGTAAGGAAAATCTCAGCAAAGATCTCATGCTCCAGATGAAGAAACTGTACCATAAGCCAAGAGAGGGAAAGTGGGATCATAGCGCCAGAGGGTTCCAGTCCCTAGAGAGAACTCAGCATACCCCATTTTTTGTCCACTACTTCTTCACTAGCCCATATTTTGTGGCAAATATTTGTAGGAAGCTGGGTTTCTAAAGGATTTTTTGAAGCAAGTAGTAACCTATCAGGAGTTGTTCTTTCATTGGTTATATTAAATTGACTTTCCTCTAAGTAAAACCTGTTCATTTCCCTCAGATTGTTTTTCACGGGTTCCCTGGCTTCTTTTGGTTAGATATGTGGCCAGTTTAGCAGCTGCCTGGATGCCAACAATATGAGTGCCAGGAGATGATTGGTAGCACCCTGTTTGAAGAGACTCTAATTCTTTCTCTTCTGGAGTCAAACTTGTGTGATAAGAGCATTAGCAGAGTGGAAAAAGATGGAGGAAGATGGCAGAGAGGCTGTTGTGTTCTCCACTTGCAGGGAGTGACATGTGGCTCTGATGCCTTTGTTCCAAGTGGATTTGGAAGGCACATTTGGTCATATGAGCTTGGAAATTATAGGAAAAATGTCTTTTGCATTAAAAAATAATATTAATAATTACCACTTACTTAGCTTTCCGTGAGGTGTAAGGTAACTCTCAAAGCATTTTATGTATATTATTTATTTTAATCATCACATTAGTCTTACTGTTCTGGGGCATCTATACGCAATGGCAGGGGGAGGAATTAAAAGAAACCTAGCTGTCTCCATTTTGGGGGAAATAATTAAGTAATATGTACTAGAAGGATTTCATGGGAGAAAAAATAAACTAGACACACATATACCACCACAGAGATAATTTAAAGACAAAGTGTGAGAATTTAAAGACAAAAAAGAGAGACAAAGAGATAATGAGATATAAGAAAATGAACAGATTTTCCATTCTGTGGACTAAGAAAGTTTTAAAAAGAAAGAAGGCACAAACAAACAATTATAGAAATAAAAATGGGGCTGGGTGCGGTGGCTCATGCCTGTAATCTCAGCACTTTGGGAAGCTGAAGTGGGTGGATCACCTGAGGTCAGGAGTTCGAGACCAGCATGGCCAACATGATGAAACCCCGTTTCTACTAAAAATACAAAAAATTAGCCGGGTATGATGACAGGTGCCTGTAATCCCAGCTACTGGGGAGGCTGAGGCAGGAGAATTGCTTGAATTGAGGAGGTGGAAGTTGCAGTGAGCCAAGATCATT
The DNA here is from genome assembly GCF_000001405.40 of Homo sapiens. Taxonomy (NCBI): domain Eukaryota; kingdom Metazoa; phylum Chordata; class Mammalia; order Primates; family Hominidae; genus Homo; species Homo sapiens. Next base: position 110,855,238 of record NC_000005.10, on the reverse strand, counting down.
CCACTGCACTCCAGCCTAGGCAATGAGAGTGAAACTCTATCTTAAAAACAAAATAAAATAAAATAAATAAATAAATAAATAAAATAAAGTAAAACATAAAAAAATAAATAAATAAGGAACATAACTACAGATTTTAAAATAGAGAATAATATGAAAATATTTTACATTTGCTTTTCCTCTATTCCAGCACCAAAACCCTTTTTTCCTTATTCTTGCTGCCTGGAAATACAGCCCCCCTCAAAAGCCTCAGCACAGAGGCTTCACTGTGGCCTTTGTTTTATAGATAAACTGGGCTAAAGCAAAGAGTAAGATGAAATTTTGGAAGGACATACAAGTTGATTCAACTGTTTATATTGTTTGAGTGTTTGGTTTAAATCTGAAACATAATGAAATATTTAGAGTTACCAAGGTTGGGTGATGAGTACATAAGTGTTAGTTGTACTTCTTTTTTATTGTAGTACTTGAAAAAATGTCTAGGTATAATTTTTTTTTAATGAGCTTCCTCTACTAGGGATGTTTCTTTTCTTGACTGATTATACATGAGCTGATGCCTTCCCTATGCTTATGTTGTCTGATGTTTTATTTCCTCATATAGAGATGATGAAATGAAATTAAATTTATTTCTCTTAGATTTCACATATTTATTTCTCTTAATAAATTTTTTTTTTCTGGGCCAGTTTTCTTTCTGATGACTCAGTATTTGTCAGTGATTAGTGTTGTATCTTGAAGAGATATCGTGCAGTACTGCTTTGCTCTGTCAAGTTCCCTTATCAGGACTAAAGGACTTCTTCCAAGCTTCTAGAAATGTTGCTGAATGACAACACTCAGCCTTCAGCCCTGTTGGAGAATTGCTTCTGCTAAAGAGAGCTGCCTTGTCCAATTTCAAATTCCCTTCTGAAACTAGCCCACATTCAATGACATGAATATGGAGGTTTGGTTTCCTTATCATAATTCAAACAACTCTCTTGGGCCATTTTGGCTTCATAGTTCCCTGTGAGGTTGGCTGAAGCATTGTTGTGAATGTGCCATACTTAACTTCTCCCTGCTGCCCAATCCTGCTTCATTCTTCACCCCACACAGGTAATGACGCCAAGAACATTCCTTAATAAATGTCTTTCTTGCTAATCTATGTCATGTAATCAGATTCCCATGGAAGCGAAGCTATGAAAAGAGGCAATGTATCATGTCGGAAAGGAATAGATAATGAACTCAGGTATATGCGTGTCTTAGTACTAGCGCTGCAACAATTCTGCAACTTGGGCTACCTGAATCTTAATATCCTTATGTGTAAAATAAGGATAATTCTTTCTTCATAAAGTTTTTTTTTGAGAATGTATGCAAGTTCTTAACTATAGCAATGATGATGATGAATGATTTTGATAATTGTTATTAATGTCAGGTAACATCACAGAATTCAGGAAGAACAGTAATTCTCCCTATCTTTCTTTTTCTTCTGCTCTCCCTTCTTCCCTGTCTCCTTCTTCTTCTCCATTCCTCTCTTCTTCCTTCCTTCTCTCTTTTTTTAGTTGCAGTCATGTGTAGAACCCTAATATGACCCAGAGCTCAAGGATCTTTCAGAACGTAGTATTGAAGCCACAAACCTAGAGGCACTGTGAAGGACTGGATCTGATAACTCCTAAGGAACAAACTGGTTATGACACAGTGCCGTGTCTCAAGCCAAACAGTAGGAGTACTAGGGTTCTCGTGCCTTTCTCCACAGCTACCACATGAGAAAATTAAACACATATCTCAACTGCTGATAGAGACTTGTTGAGACTTCTGTAAGCATTTCAATGTATTCCTTACCTCACCATTATTAAACTTCCTTTTTGAGAGGAAAATAGGAATCACCTATCTTTGACATGAGTCATCAGTTTCACTTTTCTTAGTTAACTTAATTGCTTCATTGGAATTCACTGTAAACAGATGCTGGTTAGCTTTTTTTTTTTCAATTTAAAATCTTGAAAATATTCAAAAAGTACAGTTTTATCTTATCATTATAAGATTTAAGGTTTATTTATTGAGTGCCTGTCTTGCACCAACTTCTTTACCTATGTTACTTAGCATCAAAGCAGCCCTTTTAGGTTCATTAGCCCATTTCAGAAATAAAGCAAGTATGATGCAGTGAGGTCAAGTAACTTTCCCAAGGTCACAAAGTTAGAGAAGAAAGAGGATTTGAACTCATGTCTTCTGACAACAAGTTATACAACACCTTAACTATGCCTTTCCTTCATAAATTAAATACTTACTACTGTCTGCATAAGTTTTAAAATAAGATTTTAATAATGCTGGATTATGGCTGAATTATGATTGGAGAACTAAATTCATTTCTGATTGCTTCTTCATTACTATGTTTTTACCTTAAAGGACTGTGACATTTACTTAAAATTGAAAACATATGGAGGATACTATATTACTCACAATTTTACTGTTTCTACATGTAGTACCATGCTGATTTATGTGTGTAATATTTGGGAGATTTTTTGTGTACAGGTGTGTGAGGGCTGCCAAGTAATCCTGACCTATTGCTCAAATTCCGGGTATGATGATGAGGTGTTAGGAATAGCAAGAACACAAACTATCTCATATCTTATTTGATATGACCTTTAAGTGGGAAAGTTCTTATGAAAAATCTTTGTTTCTAGACATGCTAGAATAACTGGTATTGAGCATAACCCTCCCACCATAAGCAATCCTAAAACTGGGCAAAATATGGGTGACAACTGTTTTCAGACAGTACAGAGCTATGATCCTTGAGACAAGAGCAACATACAAGGTGAGCTCCATATTTTCTCTAGCTTTCTGCCTAAACACAGTTTTCAAACCAGAGTTCAGGAAGGTAGAAGCCAATTGCAGAGTGGTTGTCCCATTGAGTTGAAATGGCAGAGGTTGGAGTTCAGTCAAGCTGAAATAGCAAGGTACCTCAAAACAGGAAACTCTGAAGAGGGGAGTTCTAGAGGTCTGATGAGAGCTGAGTTTTGCATGCACATAAGACTACATAAGGTCTAGCAGGAAGTGGCTAATAATAGGCAGAGAACTGAAAAGAAATGCCAGTGGTCATACAATGCTTGGGAAAATAGACCTCACTGAATACATTAAACATTCAGTTGAGACTTGTCTTTGATTGCTAAGGATGCCATACAAAACTATAGGGATGCTACAGACTGGATGGCATAAACAACAGAAATTTATTTTCTGATAGTTCTGGAAACTATTAAGTCCAAGACCGAGCTGCTGACAGTGTTGATTTCTGGTGAGGTTTCTCCTTCTGGTTTGCAGATGGCTGCCTTTTCCCTGTGTCCTCACATGGCCTTCCCTCTGTGCATGGACACTCTTGGTGTCTCTTACTATTCTTGTAAGGATACCAGCCCTATTGTATTACGGCCTCACTCTTATAATCTTATTTAACCTTAATTACCTCCTTAAAACCCTATCACCAAATACAGTCATATTGGGGGTTAGAGTTTCAACATATGTATTTTGGAAGAACACAATTCAGCCCATACCATTCTGCCCTCTGGTGCCCCCAAATTCATTTCTTTCCCACATGCAAAATAATGTACCCCATGCCAACACCTGCCAAAGCCTTAACCTATTCCAGCATCAACTCCAACTTCAAAGTCTGTACTATATGTCATTTAAGGTATCAAGGTATGATTCATCCTGAGAAAACATTCATCTCCAGCTGTGAGCTCATGAAACTAGAGAAGTTATATGCTTCCAAAATACAGTGAGAGGAAGTTTCTTGTTTCAGGTCCAGCATGTAAGGAGCTTGGAAGTCGTCACTCTGCCATAACAAAATAAAAAGCTATACAAACTGAAGAATGAACAACTCTTCTTTGATCTTTCACAGAGGTGAGGTCACAAGACAAAATACTTCCCCCAAAATTGGAGGGGTAGACAGGCAAATACAGAGAATCACAACTTACTGGAACAGAAATCTATAAGAAGAAAACTCCATGAAAAAAAATGCCTGAGTAAAAAAGCCTAAATAGTAGTTGATGAGTTGCTGGAAGCTCAGTGTGGACAAATCTGTGAATTAAAAATTTCAGGGGCCATTTACTGAAAAGTGACCCTCACTTTTGTGAATTTTACCTCCAGAAACTCAACTAGGTTCTTAAAATGAATATTGGAGAAAAATTCCCTTGTGTTTGCAGCAGAAAAAGTGGAAACTAACCGTTTTGAAATATGCCAGAACACTTTTAATAGTATTTCAAGATAAACTATTTTATCATGCACTATAGAACAAATTGACCTAATAGATATTGACAGAACATTTCATCCAGCAACTGCAGCATACACATTCTTCTCCTGAGCACATGGATCATTCTCAATGATAGATTATATATTATGTTACAAACAAGCCTTAAAACATTCACAAAAATTGAAATAATGTTAAGCATCTTCTCTGACTACAGTGGAATAAAACTAGAAGTCAACAACAAGAGGAATTTTGGAAACCAAAAACACATCACAATTAAACAATAAGTTCCCAAGTGACTAGTGGGTAAATGAAGAAATTAAGAAAATTAAAAAATTTCTTGAAGAAAATGTTAAGTGAAACACAATATACTGAAACCTATAGGATATAGTAAAAGCACTACTAAAAATGAAATGTATAACCATAAATGCCTATATCAAACAAGAAGAAAAACTTCAAATAAACAACCTAACAATGCATCTGAAATAATGAGAAAAGCAAGAGCAAACCAAACCCAAAATTAGTAGAAGAAAAGAAATAATAAAAGATCAGAGAGGAAATAAAGGAAATTGAGACAAAGTAAACAGTACAAAAGATTAACAAAATGATTAGTTGGTTTCTTGAAAAGATAAATAAAATTGACAAAGCTTTAGCCAGATTGACTAAGTGAGAAAGAAATAAGACTCAAATAAATCAGAGATGGAGGTCAGGAGATTGAGACCATCTTGGCTAACATGGTGAAACCCCGTCTGTACTAAAAATACAAAAAATTAGCTGGGCGCGGTGGTGGGCACCTGTAGTCCCAGCTACTCTGGAGGCTGAGGCAGGAGAATGGCATGAACCTGGGAGGTGGAGCTTGCAGTGAGCCGAGATCGTGCCACTGCACTCCAGCCTGGGTGACAGAGTGAGATTCCGACTCAAAAAATAAATAAATAAATAAAATAAAATAAATAAATCAGAGATAAATAAAGAGATACTACAACTGGTACCACAGAAATTCAAAGGGTCATAAGCGGTACTATGAGAAATAATATGCCAATAAATTGGAAAATCTAAAGGAAATGGATAAATTACTAGACACATACAACCTACCAAAATTGAACTGGGAAAAAATCCAAAACCTTAACAGACCAAGAACAAGTAATGAGATTGAAGCTCTAATAAAAAGACTCCTGGCAAAGAACAGCCTGGGACCTGATGGCTTCACTGCTGAATCCTATGAAACATTTAAAGAAGAACTAGTATCAATCCTACTTAAACTATTCTGAGAAATGGAGGAGGATGGAATACTTCCATACTCATTCTACCCAGTATTAGCCTCATAAAAAAACCAGACAATGACACATAAAAAAACCCCTACAGGCCAATATCTCCGATGAATATTGATGCAAAAATAACCAACAAAATACTAGCAAACCAAATTCAACAATACATTACAAAAATCATTCATCATGACCAAGTGGGATTTATCCCAGGGATGCAAGAATGGTTCAACATACACAAATCAATCAACGTGATACATCATATCAACAAAATGAAGAACAAAAACCATATGATCATTTCAACTGATGCTGAAAAGCATTGATAAAGTTCAACATCCTTTCATGGTAAAAGCTCTCAAAAGTCTGAGTACAGAAGGAACATACCTCAACATAATAAAAGCCATATATAATAGAAACACAGTTAGTATCATACTGAATGTAGAAAAACTGAAAGACAACCTGTTTTCTAAGATCTGGGACATGACAAGAATGCCCACTTTCACCATTGTTATTCAACATAGTACTTGAAGTCCTAGCTAGAGCAATCAGACAAGAGAAAGAAATAAAGAGCAATAGAGAGCATCCTGATTGGAAAGAAAGAAGTCAAATTATCTTTGTTTGCAAATCATATGATTTTATATTTGGAAAAACCTAAAGAATTCACCAAAAAAAACTATTAGAACTGACAAACAAGTTCAGTAAAATTGAAGGATACATAATCAACATACAAAAATTATTAGCATTTCTATATGCCAACAATGAACAATCTGAAAAAAAGTTAAAAAAGTAATCCCATCTTCAATAGCCACAAATAAAATTAAATACTTAGGAATTAACTTAACCAAAGAAGTGAAAGAGCTCTACAATAAAAACTATAAATTGATAAGGACACACAAAAAATGGAAAGACGTTCCCTTTTCATGGATTGGAAGAATCAATATTGTTAAAATGTTCATACTACTCAAAGCAATGTAAAGATCCAATGCAATCCCTATCAAGATACCAGAAGTAGAAAATAAAATCCAAAAGTTTATATGGAACCACAGAGGACCCAGAATTGCCAAAGCCATCCTGAACAAGAAGAACAAAACTGGAGGAATCACATTACCTGACTTCAAATGATACTACAGAGCTATTATAACCAAAACAGCATGGCACTTGCATTAAAAAAAAGACACATAGATCAATGGAAAAGAATAGACAACCCAGAAACAAATCTATATGCCTATACACCTACAATAAACTCATTTTAGACAAAGATGCCAAGAACATACATTGAGTAAAAGACAGTCTCTTCAATAAATGGTGCTGAGGAAACTGGATATTCATATGCAGAAGAATGAAACTCGACCCCTATCTCTCAGCATGCACAAAAAATCAAAACAAAATGTATTAAAGATTTAAACCTAAGACCTCAAACTATGAAACTATTACAAGAAAATTCTGGGGAAATTCTCCAGTGTATTTATTTGGGCAATAATTTCTTAAGCAATACCCCACAAGCAGAGGCAATGAAAGCAAAAAGTGGACAAATGGGATCACATCAAATTAAAAAACTCCTGTACAGCAAAGTAAACAATCACAAAGTGAAGAGACAACCCACAGAATGGGAGAAAATATTTGCCAAATATTCATCTGACAAAGGATTAATAACCAGAATATATAAGGAGTTAACAACAATTTAGGAGAAAATCTAATAATCCAATTTAAAATGGGCAAAAGGTCTGAATAGACATTCCTCAAAAGAAGACATACAACATGTAGGTGAAAAGTTGCTCGACATCATTGGTCATCAGGGAAATGCAAATCAAAACTACAATGAGATATCATTTAACCCCAGTTAAAATGGCTTTGATCCAAAAACAAGAAATAGCAAATGTTGGTAAAGATGTGGAGAAAAGGGAACTCTTGTATGCTGTTGGTGGGAATGCAAATTAGTACAACCATTATGAAGAACAGTTTGGAGGTTTCTCAAATAACTAAAAATAAAGTTACCATATGATCCAACAATCCCACTGCTAGGTATATACCCAAAAGAAAGGAAATCAGTATATTGAAGTGATATCTGCATTCCCATGTTTGTTGCAGCACTATTAATAATAGCCAAGATTTGGAAGCAACCTTAGCATGCATCAACAGATGAATTGATTAAGAAAATGTGGTATTATACACAATGAAGTGCTATTCAGCCATAGAAAGAATGAAACTCTGTCTTTTACAAGAACATGGATGGAACTGGAGATCATTTTGTTAAGTGAAATAAGCCAAGCACAAAAAGATGAATGGATCCTGTTTTCACTTACTTGTGGGAGCTAAAAATTAAAATAAATGAACTCATGGAGATAGAGAGTAGAAGGTTGGTTACCAGAGGCTGGCAAGGGTAGTAAGTAGTGGGCGGGAAGTGGGGATGGTTAGTGGGTACAAAAAGAAGTTAGAAAGAATAAATAAGACCTGGTATTTGGCAGCACAACAGTGTGACTATAGTCAGTAGTAGTTTAATTGTACATTTTAAAATAACTAGAAGAGTATAATTTGATTGTTTGCAACACAAAGAATCAGTACTTGATGGGATGGGTACCCCATTTACCATGATGTGATAATTACACATTGCATGTCTGTATCAAAGTATTTCATGTTCCCCATAAGTATATACATCTATTATGTACCCACAATAATTAAAAATTTAAAAAAGAATGAGTAAATTAATTCTGCTATAATTATGTAATAGAATGTTCTTCAGCAATAAAGAAAGTGAGCTATGTATACACACAACATAGAAGAATGCCAAAAATTCTATGTTGAGGGAAACAAGCAGACAGAAAAAAAGTACAAACCAGGGGATTCAATTTATGTGAAGCTTATGAACAAATAAAACCAACATATGGTGATAGAGTAGAACAATGGTTGCCTCTAGAAGTTCATTTTGACTAGAAGGGATTGTGAAAGAATTGTCTGAGGTGAAGAAAATGTTCTGAGCTTGACTGGGGTGTTGGTTACATGAGTGTACATATTTATTTAAGATTCATCCTGTTGTATGTACATATTACTTCAATTCAAATAAAATCATGGGGGCTTATGCTCACTTCAAAGTTTTGAGAGTATGAATACATAGGAAAACCTCTTAGTGTTACTCTAACATGATCAGTTCCAGAGGAAACCAGCTCTCTTTTACGAAGCATCACTGGAACGGCAGCTGTTTTAAAGTAAAACAGCTGATGTTTTTCCAGTCACCTGACTGCTCATTTCAATGCTTTTCCTCACCTTAGTCACATAATGAGTGATTCCCAAGGATTCGTATTCATATATTTTCCTCCTATTTCCACGGGATTTTTCATGATATATAGCTTGACTGACTGAGGCAAGGCAACTCTTACATGATCATTGTGATTTCAACTTGCTTTATTATTTAATGTATGAATATACTCAGAACATCTTTTCAAGTCATGACATTTAGATCATGTTTTTATTGGCTGCAGAATATACCACAGTTTGGATATTCCAAAATTTGTTTAACTCTTTCATAATTGATGGTCATTTAATTTGTCATCATATTTGTTTTGATAGTGCAACTAGTTTTACAATAAACATCATATTTGGCTTTATGAATTTATACTTTTGTTTTATAACATATATTCCACATTTTTTGGAATATTTTACTTCTTTCTGGATTCTCAACAATATTTAAACTCCATGAATGCTAATATATGTCTGTTAGTAAACTGTTGAATCCCTAGAGCCTAGCACAATACTTGGTGTATGGTAGGTTCTCATTAAGTGTTTGCTGGGTGAAATAATAAATAATTATATATTTTCTTATTATACAGCTTAAGTAGTGGTTGATTAGCTGATAGTCCAGTCTATTTAATTTTAACCCTGTAATATGAAAATTCTTTGGGGAAAAGCATGCCCTTTCTCTCAGTAACATAAACAGTTACTGAGAGAAAACATCAAATCAAAATGACTGTTATTTACACACAAAAAAGTGAAACAAAATAACCAACACAGCTTTAGTGGAGAAATCTTAGTAAAAGCTATTACACTGAAACAAAAGCTAAATTTAGATTTTGTTGATAGGTGATTTAAGTGAATTCCAATCACATTAAATCCAGCAGGTATTTATTTCAGCTCAATTCAGTCTTAAACGAAATGTTAAATTATTGAACAATATGGCAGCTTGTTCAAAAAAGGATACGTTTCTTTGTTATGGGAAGCTCAACCATGAATGACAAGCAGGAATATAACTCCTGAAATGTGACTAAAGGTCATAACTAGGAGGTGACTTTGATTCCAGGAATCCTCAGTAGATGCCTTATGTTCTTGTGAGTGTTCTTGACTTTCCCTGAAAACTTGACAATCACGAGGAGTGAGTGTGTGCCCATGAGCATGAGTGCATGTCTGCTCCTGCTCTATCAATAACACTAGCCAGTCTTTCTCAGGCACTCAGTCAATACTTGTCAAATTAAACAATCAATAGGCTGGATACGGAAGAGAAGGAAAAGCCACAAATACTGCCAGTAAAGTTCCTGAGAAGAGATAAGACAACAGGACTCTACGTTCCTCTCTACTTTGGGAATCTTGGGCAACAAGGGCTAATTCAGTGAGCTAAGAGTAAGAGAGATAGATATTGATTTATTTTTCTGCTTCCTCATCTTCATTAGGAAAAAAATTACTATCTGTGCTTTAGCACATGGTCATCTGCCTAGGTCATAAACCTGTACTCAAGCCCTTCAGACAGCTTTTCCTGACAACCTTGGTCCACTGGAATGTTGCTAATCTTAGAATTATTTTGTTCAATGTTTTTCTTCTGAATTTTGGAACCCACTTTTTATTTAAAATCTACTTCTCCTCTTTATTTAAAACCTTCTTCTCCTGGCTCTCTTTATACCAACACCTATGTATTAGTTTGCTAGGGATGCCATAGCATAGTACACCACAGTTCTAGAGGATAAACGTCTGAGATCAAGGTGATGGCAGAGTTGATTTCTTCTGAAGTCTCCCTCCTTGGCTTGTAGATGGCTATCTTCTACCTTGTCTTCCCGGGCTCTTCCATCTCTGTGGGTCTGCAACCAGATGTCCTCTTCTTGTAAGAATATAGGTCATATTGGATTAGGGACCACCCTAATGACTCCATATTAATTTAATTACCTCTTTAAAGAATCTATCTCCAAATAAAGTCAAATTTTGAGGCTGATAGTTACAAAAGCAAAATATTAATTTAGGGAAACACAATTCATCCCATAATAACCAATACTTCATACCCTGACCAGAGCTGATACAATGCTGGTTTTACTAGAGTCTTGGTGAGGGCTGATTCACTGTGGACCATGTTTATAGTCTTAGTGTAAACACAGGAAAAGCTAGCCAAGTCCAGTCTCAGACTTATATTTAAATTGTTCCTTTTATTGTAGTGGGGATGATGAGGAACAAGAAGGAGAGGTGATGACAAAGGTGGGGCCATATTTTTACTTTTCATGATACAATTCACTCTTATCTTTGATATTATGGTGCTTTGGGTAGCTTTTCAAGAGATGCTTGATGTTTGGTGTTCACTGGACAAAAATTCAGACTTCATTTTTCCTTTAATAACATTTACCCAATAGTCAAATCTCTTACTTGTTCCATCTTTTAATATTTTGCCCACCTTATCCTTCTCTTAATGAATGGAAAGGCACAGATATGACTTGAGTAATTTTGTTTATCAAGGCAATTCTAAAGTCAGATTTTTAGATAGACTTCATACAGTATGTCTGCTTACTATCGAGGAAGAAAGGAAGTTTAAGGTATTTATACTTTGTTTAGTTTTGTCTCCTCTTCTTGAAACCATCAAAGGAGCAATGCAAAACATTCCTATCTAAATGGAATTCCTTCTTGTCTGAAGCTGCTTTCTTTCATTAGCCATAAAACTTTGCCACAGTATCCCTGAAGATAATGTTCATTCTTAATAAAAATGCAAATGGGATTTTTCTTTGTTACTAAGTAGATTATTCTGAAAGCAAGTTTCTGGTTCATTTAAGGGCTATGGCCTTAAATGCCACACAAACATTTTGGAGGGAGGAGGTTAACAGTGAATATCAATGTGAGGTAAGGTTTTGTAGAGAATGTTTGACTTAAATATACATTATAAGATATGTGCAAAGATTTGGACAATTGAGGGGTAAGAGGACAATACCAAAAAAGTCTGGTTGTAAGAAAGAATGGGATGTAGGTTGAGTGTGGTGGCTCATGCCTGTAATCCCAGCACTTTGAGAGGCTAAGGCAGAGGTCCAGAAGTTCAAGACCATCCTGGACAAGATGGTGAGACCTCATCTCTACAAAAAAATTTAAAAGTTAACCAGGTGTGGTGGCATGTGCCTGTGGTCCTAGTTTCTCAGGAGGCTGAGGCAGGAGGATCACTTGAGCCCAGGAGGTTGAGGCTACAGTGAGCCATGTTCGCATCTTTGCACTCCAGCCTGGGTGACAGAGGGAGACCCTGTCTCAAAAAAAAGGAAAAGAAAAAGAAAGAAAAGGAAAGAATGGGCTATGTATGCATTGTTTCTCTTTGTTTAATTTTGCATAATTCAGTTAATCTTTAAACTTTGCGGCTTCTCACCTTACATTTGAGGTACTCTCCCCTTTTCAGAGCATGGTCTCTGAAGTCAACTTTCTGGTTTCAATCATATCTCGAGCACTGTGATGATAATAACACATGCCTCATGCAGATACTGTGAAGATTAAATGAGCTAATGTATGTCAAATATTTAGAATACTGCCTGGAAAAATAATAAAATTACCGTTGTCCCTTGGTGTGGATGGACCCCTAAGGATACCAAAATCTATCAATGCTCAAGTCCCTTGAAAAAAATGGCATAGTATTTGCATATACCTGTACAAATCCCTCCATATATTTTAATTATTTCTAGATTACTAACAGTACCTAAAAATATAAATGCTATATAAATAGTTGTTATACTGTATTGGTTTTTAAAATATTATTTTTTATTGTTGTGTTTTTGTTTCTTTATTTTTTTCAATACTTTTTTTTCCTTTGCCCCTAAGTTCAAGGATTTTTCAAATACTTTTGATTTGCAGTTGGGTGAATCCACAGATGTGGGACCTGTGGATACAGAGGGCCAACTGTATTCTTATTATTACTATTAGGCAACTCAAAGAATTTCATTCTTGGTCTTTTATTTGAATTGAATCTAGTTATCCACTTTTCCATAATCCAAATACAATGTGACAAAAATTATATGATTAGGTTGCTTTCCTTTGGTGTGCAAAAAGAATTTTTCCCTGTTTCTCTGGCAAGGTCTCCTTATTTTTGTTCACCTCAAGTCTAGTAGCTCTTACCTCAGCCTTGTTTCAGGTGTCGTATACGCATGCATTGCAACTTGTTGAGAGATATTTACTCTTAGGGTTGGTTTGGCAAAAATTAATTCTATTTCAACTTTGCTGGAGATGATTTTTGAGAATTGCTGTGTGTGTGTGTTTGTGTGTGAGTGTGTGTGTGCGCTCATTTCATATCTAAATAGGACTAGCTCAACATCTGTCTGTTACTAATAGTTTCCTACCTGAGACTATACAAAAGATCTTTGAAAGAAAGTCATTGCCCCTTCTGGGTCTTTGTTTCAAGTCATATGTTCACTGATTTTTAATAATAATTTGACATGATTAATTGGTCTTACATGCAGATACAGCCTCAAATCTCAATTTATAGCAACAAATACAACTTGTAATGCTTTTAGAAACTGAATTTGTATATCACCATTAGTACTGTAACATATTTACCAAGTGCAATGAGTCACATGTAAATTTTATTTAGGAAAGAGAAATATAAAATGTATATTTCAAAGTTTAACTTAAGGAGTATTTGGAATGAAAGTGTCAATGACCTATATACTAAAATTACCAAACATTGCTGACAGAAATTCCAGAGGGCCAAAATAAATGGAGAATTCTGTCATGATCACAGATTAGGATACTTATTTTGTGAAGATGTCTTTTACCCTTAAATAACCTAAAAATAAAATATGATCCCAATAAAAAATCCCAGGAGCTTTTTTCCTTGGTGTAATTGATAGGATGATTTTAAATTTTATATGAAAATATAAGGAATCGAGAATACAAAAATATCTGAAAGAGTAAGAACAAAATTGAGGAGCTGCACTAACAGATGCCATGTTTTACTATAAATTGTCAGCAATTAAGGCATATGGATGAAGGAATAGATATATGGATCAAAGAAAAGAAAGGACTTAAAAGCAGATCCACATGTCACTTCAATTCAGTGGAGAAAAGAGAGTCTCTTCAAAAATGATACCGGATCAACTGGGTGGCATATAGAAAAAAATTCATAAAAATTAGTGATCAATCACAGGCGTTGGGAAGGTACTTATCAGATGAAGTCTAAATGGCAACAAAGCATATGGAAAAGTATTCAACATCATTAGTCATCAAGGAAATGCTAATTGTAAATAGACTAAGATAACTCTGAAAACCAACTCATTGTATGTAGTCATTATGCTACAATTTAAAACCCTGAAAACATCAAGCATCAGCAAGGATTTGGAACATCTGTAACTCAGATATTCCTGATGGAAATAGAAAATGGCAAAATTGCTTTGGAAAACTGTTTGGTATTATTTACAAAAGATAAACATACATGTACTCTATGATGCAACATAGCATTGGATACATGTTTGGGCAGCTCCCTGTAAAATTAAATAAGAAGTAACAGGGGAAAAGCACTATTGCAGTTATTAAAAATATAAAACTGTTTTCTTTCTTCTGTGATCTTTCTTTCTTGACTTGTCATGTGTTTTGTGTTTTTACTTGCTATTTAATATTGCACTCTCCTGGGCATGGGGATAATAGTAGGGTAAGTGCAAACCCTAGTAGGTGCCTGAGGGTCCCACACCACTACTCAGCACATGCGCCCAGCCCACTAAAGTCCACCCCTGCCAAGTCCCGTGCTTAACCAGGAAACCAACATGCTGTGTCCCACCCAGAGCAAGGAAATTGAGCCAGACATCTACCCTAACCACAGGCCACCACCCCACCCCTACCACAATAGAAGAAGGGCAACCTCCAAGGCTATTTTAACCCCTGTGCAGAGGCATGCTAGGTTCCTGAATTGACTTTAGGCAAGGGGCTCATTCCCGCAGAGTCACCTCCAGTCCTGGACTAGGAGTGCTGCCACCATTCCATGTTTAGAGAGGCCATGTTGCAAGCACTGCTGGCTCTGGCCCACCGCTCCTGGCTCCGTCACAACACAGGAGAGGAAAAGCAGCAGTTTCTGGGTGAGGCAGTGAGGGCGAGTTCAAACCTGGAACGCTAAGATGAAATGTTTGGGCAACAGCTGAGAATCCATTTCAGGGGGACAAACAAAAAGATTATGTGAGGCAGGACAGGGCAGGAGCCAAGGTTCCAGGCCTCAGCACACTCTTTATTGTTCTAACAGACTTTACTTCCACAAATTCAAAGATAAAATTATTAAGGAATTCAACATGGCAATTGCAAAGCATTAAGCCCCAAGCAAGGAGCTCTTCTAAGCTCAGGACTCTGCTAGACTGGTGGCATGATCATAAAGCTTGGCCTGTCTTAGCAATTCCACTTGTAGGTGCAAACTTAGGAGAAAGAGTGTGCATTTCAACCAAGACACGCGTGTTCATAACAGCAAATAATAGTCAACAGATGAATACAATCCAAACTCACATCAAAAAATAAACTGATAAATAACTGGTTGTATACTCATATCGTAATGAAATAGTACAGAGAAGTAAAAATGAATAAACTAGTGATACACAAGTAACATAGGTGACCTGTGTATCACTAGTTTATTTACTCTTACTAGTTTATTAAATGACATAAAGGTAAGGAAGCAAAGCCAGATATAAGAATATATACTGCATAATTCAATCTATATGAAATTCAAAAATAGGTAAAATCCATCAGTGATCTTAGAGAGTAGTTTTTAATTCCAAATGAGGGTATTGACAGTTAGGGGGACAAGAGGTTTTTCGAGGGTACTGGCAAAGCTATATTTTATGTGAGTGATAGTTACATGAATGCACCAATATGAAAAATACCATTATGCTGTAAACAAGATTTGTACACTTTATTATATACTTGGAATAGAAGGGAAAGAAGGAAGAGGAAGGGAAGGAACAGGAGAGGAGGAAAAATGATCGTGGAATATGCTAACAGTACTTTTAGAACCAAAGTCCTTTGTCCAGAGTTGAAAAATATTTTAGGGCTGGAAGGAGTTTTGACCTTGCAACTATAAATAAAACACCATGTGTGTAGTTTTATGAGCATTTCTGAGGAAGAAGAAGCACAACATCAGATTTTCAAATGCAAATGTAATATCCTAAAATAAATCATGCAAAAAGAAAAATAAAACGAAAAATATTAAAATCACTCAATAAGAAGAATGATCAGGTAATGATATTTGTAATACTTTTATGTAAAGGATAAAATGTTATGTTAATGGAAAAATATGGAAGTGACATATTGTAACATAGGAAATGCATTTGCTATTTTCATCCGTCTATTCAAGAAACAATAACTGAATGCAACTGCCTGCTGGCTGCGTGCCAGGTGCATGGTTAAAATACAGTTCATTTTCTTAGGAATTTCCAAATTTTATAGCAGATTAAAAAAATTCAAAATGTATATGACCACATATTGCCAAAAATAAAATTATGTCCAAGCTGCAGAAGAAGAGTAGGGTGACGCTCTCTGTCTGTCAGTGTAATGAGAGTTCAGGGACCTGTGCACTCTGCAACTTCTCTGCTTGTAAGTTTTCCCCATAGTGTTTATAGTTAATGCTGAGCATTTAAATTTATCATGCCACTAAAAATAAGGCTACATAATTCTAACAACAAAATATACAAAATGATAGTTTTTTAAAAAAGAACTGAAGAAGAGTCTTCCCTAAATGCTCTTTTCACAAAAGCAAGAAGTGATTCTTCAGTGAATGTTTCCTTTTTATGAATTTTTCTATTGATCTCTACTTACCTCATGACTCCATAATTACAGAGAATCATTGCATTTGAAGGCATAGCTTATGAATGAAGATATGTTTGAATATGGAAAAAAATGAAATGTTGAGTGATGCAATAGTTAATATTGAGTGTCAACTTGATTGTATTGAAGGATGCAAAGTATTATTCCTGGGTGTGTCTGTGAGGGTGTTGCCAAAGGAGATTAACATTTGAGTCAGTGGACTGGGAGAGTCAGACCCACCCTCAATCTGGGTGGACATCAGCCAATCAGCTGCCAGTATGGCTAGAATAAAGCAGACAGAACAACGTGGAAGAACTTGACTTGCTGAGTCTTCTGGTCTTCATCTTTCTCCTGTGCTGGATGCTTCCTGCCTTCGAATATCGGACTCCAAGTTCTTCAGCTTTTGGACTCTTGGAAATTACACCTGTGGTTTGCCAGGGGCTCTTGGGTCTTTGGCTACAGACTGTCAGTTTCCCTACTTTTGAAGTTTTGGGGCTTGGACTGATTCACCACTGGCTTCCTTGCTCCTCAACTTTCAGATGGCCTATTGTGGGACTTTACCCTGTGATCATGTAAGTCAACTCTCCTTAATAAATTCCCTTTCATATATACATATATCCTACTAGTTCTGTCCCTCTAGATAACCCTGACTAATACAGGCAATAAGAATGAATGAACCAAAGTGAAGTAAATACGTTGATTAAAAGGAAGCATATGAGTCTTTCTTTTCCAGGTTCTAGTCTGACATGAAAAGAGCTTGAAAGTCATCATTCCTGTCCTCACCACAAAAAGAAAATTGAACAAACTGAAAATCAAGATCCCTTTTTAGGCCCACAAAGAATTGAGGTCACAGGACAAACTGCTGCCCTGAAAACTGGAGGGAAGGGGGTTACAAAGAACCCTAACTTACCTTACTGGAAGCAGCAGCCCAGGAGAAAAAGCTTTCAGATGGAGCCAGCATCAGTAGGAATACTTGAACTTTATTTGATAAATTCTAGAGGCTCAGTGTAGACTAGCTTGAGAATTAAAAATTCTGGAAGGTATTTTTGGAAGTCCCCAAACTTTTATGAGCTTTGCCTATAGGATCCCCGCCTGGTTCTTATTGTGAAGACTGAAGAAAAATCTATTCATGCTTCTGGCAGGGGAAGGGAAACTATAACCATTTAAAAATATATCCAGAGCTCTCTGTTCTCCTTAACAAAGGTCTACCCTTAGAAAAATATTTTATCAGAACCTAACAAACTTGAGTTTTGCCAGAGCCTAACTGACCCGAGTGGGTCCTAGAGGACTTGGATTTGGTAATTTTTCCCTTCTTTGGGGAAGGGAAACACCCAAATAAAGTCCTCTCTGGCCTTGCTATCTCACCTAAGTAATGAATTTTTTTAAAAAGCTGAGAAGCCCTTGTGAAGGTCACAGCCCAGGGACACAGGTTTTCTAAAAGACTGAGATATAATCATAGGATTATAAAATGCTTCTCATTTCCTCATATTCTACCACCATATCAATAGGACTTTTGTGGAATAATAGGAGGTATAGCTGAAAGAGCTGTAAGACTCTGGCTCTATTTAAGAAGGAATATTTATTTATTTTATTATTACTTAATAATAAATTCAGGCTGGAGTGCAGTGGCACAGTCACATCCAGGCTGTAGTGCAGTGGCATGATCACAGTTCACTACAACCTTGGCCTCCTGGGCTCAAGGGATTCTCCTGCTACAGCTGGGACTGTGGCAAGCCAGATTTCCATTAGCAGTCAGAGCATCCAGCGTCCACTAACCCTTGGCTGTAATTCTGATGAATGCATAAGTTAAACATTAGAGAACTGTTGAAGCTGTGCCTGAATATGAGGGCTGGAATATAAAAACAAATCCATTAAGATCCTGCCTGGGTTTTATCAGACCCTATAGCCTGATTTAATGATAAAAGCATTTTTACACATACACCTTGTACTAGGGTCCACTTAAGATTACACTTTCCAAGGTTTTAGAGAAAACATTCCAGACCCTAGACCCTAGTTAAAGATTAGATATAGATTAAGTAAAACAATACTGCCTGTGGGTGCACTCCCATCCATATGCATAGAGCTTAAAATGTATATAAGCACTGAAGAAAATCTTGTAACTTTGAGTTAGTCTGGTGAATTTCTTCCACCTTTTCCCTGTGGTGGGTTACAGAAATAAATTCTCTTCTTTCCCAGTCCATCTGCATCTTGTTATTGGACCATGAGACTACGCAGACATACCTCATTCTGTCCAGGAAAAGGGCCACAGGTGCATACCACCACACCTGGCTAACTTTTGCATTTTTTTGTAAAAATAGAGTTTCACCATGTTGCCCAGGCTGGTCTCAATATCCTAGGCTGAAGCAATCCTCCCCGCTCAGCCTCCTGAAGTGCTGGCATTACAGCCATCAGCCACTGAGCCCAGCCAGAAAGAATCATTAGAAAAACCAAAGACTACAGAGGAGACAAAAATAAGGACACTAGAGGAAATTTTAACCCCTGACACCACAGCTATAGCAAACAGTAAACAATGTCAAACTCAGCCAAATAAATATAAAATCTCACACTAAAGGACTATTCACATCATTTTTTTTTTTACCCAATACATTCTGTACATCTTTCAGAAAACATTTTCAAGGCTGTGAGAGGCAAAAACAAACAAAATATCATAGTCTGAACAGACAAAGCAAACATAAGAACTAGAGTCAGACATTAAGGACTTTGGAATTATCAGACCAAGAATTTAAAGTAACTGATTAGTGTGCTAAAGTCTCTAATGTAAAAAGTGGACAACATGTAAGAACAGATGGGTAATGTAATAAGGGAGATGAAAACTCTAAGAAAAAAACAAAAGAAAAAGCACCGTAATAGAAATGAAGAATGCTGTTGGTGGGCTGAATGTGACACCAGACATTGCTGAGGAAAGAATTAATGAACTTAAAGATATAAAAAATATAAACTCCTCAAAATGGAATAGACAGTTATAAAATATGTAACATAGGCATAAAGAAAATACAAGAAAGAAAGAGACAGGTGGAGGGAGGGAGAGAGTGAACAAGGTAGGAAAGGAAGAAAGGGAAGAAAAGAAGAGAAAAGAAAAGATGGGAAAGGGGTAGAGGAAATAATTGAAGTCCTTGAGATAGTTTGCTGAGAATGATGGTTTCCAGCTTCACCCATGTCCCTACAAAGGACATGAACTCATCATTTTTTATGGCTGCATAGTATTCCATGGTGTATATGTGCCACATTTTCTTAATCCAGTCTATCATTGTTGGACATTTGGGTTGGTTCTAAGTCTTTGCCATTGTGAATAGTGCCGCAATAAACATACGTGTGCATGTGTCTTTATAGCAGCATGACTTATAGTCCTTTGGGTATATACCCAGTAATGGGATGGCTGAGTCAAATGGTATTTCTAGTTCTAGATCCCTGAGGAATCACCACACTGACTTCCACAATGGTTGAACTAGTTTATAGTCCCACCAACAGTGTAAACGTGTTCCTATTTCTCCACATCCTCTCCAGCACCGGTTGTTTCCTGACTTTTTAATGATTGCCATTCTAACTGATGTGAGATGGTATCTCATTGTGGTTTTGATTTGCATTTCTCTTGGTTTCTAATTTAAACAAGTGACAACTTACGTTATAGAGTACTGGGGAGGAGCAGGTTTGCACAAGACGATAAGGATCTGTTTTTTTTTTTTTTCTATGTTCAGTTTCATGTGCATGTAGGAAATTCAGAGGTATTGAGTGAGCCATTGAGTAAGCCTATTTACTAATGAATAAAGCTCAGGAAAGATAAATGAGAGGGAGATAAGTTTAGATTAATCAGACAACAGCAAGTTCTCACAATATTGTTGACAGGTTACTGAAAACTGCAACTTTAAGCAAAACAATGTGTAACAAAACCCATTTTACCACAAGCAAATTTATATAAACAAAAGTTCCTATGGTATAATTCTAGTCACAAAAACTTTACCAAACTTCTCAATGAAGACCAAAACACTAATAGTAAACATTGAAATAAATGTGAGCTATACATGCTTAAGAATGATTAATAAAAACAGGAAAGATAATTATTTACCCAGAATTGAGGGTGGCTATAGCCTATCCTGATAGCTCAGGGTGCAAGGTGGCCACCAATCCTGGACAGGACACCATCCTATTGCAAGGTACACACACACACACACTCGCTCAGATTGGGACAATTTAGACATGCCAGTTCACATGACATACACATTTTTGGAAGGTACCAGTGTACCTGAAGAAAACCCACGCAGACATGGGGAGAATGTGCAAACTCCATACAGATGGTGGATCTAGCCAGAAACTGATTTTTTTTTTTTCTCATCAACATATAACCAAACAACATTGAATGCAACAATGCTATTCAAGGACTTGCTGTATAGGATGGAATTGAAGTCATAGGAGTAGATGAGATTACTGAGTACAACTGTGTAGAGAAAGAAGAGAAGAGGGTCTAGGACAGAATCCTTAGGAATACCAACATTTTAGAGAAAGTCAAAAGAAAACTTCACAAAAAATATTGAATGAGAGAAGTCAGAGTAGTAATTGGAAACCTGAAGAGAGGAGTATGTTTAGAGGCAAGAGAAGAAAGCCTTGGAAGAAAGAATGTGAAGTTAATAGGATCAACTGTAGCCAAGGTCAATATTGAAAAGTGTCACTTGAATTTAATATAAAGTTGTTCTTTCTAATCATGAAAAAATTATGGAGATGATTTTGGTGGAGTTGGGGTCGAAGCCAGATTGTGATGGGTTTTTAAATGAATTATAGGGAGAAGAATATCTTGACACAAGAACTGCAGGAAGTGTGTTTCTGAAGGGGAAGACACATGGAGAGACATAGACTGGGAGCTGAAGGAAGACATGGAATCTGGAGAAGTTTTCTGTTTTATACTTTTATGATGGGAGACACAGAGTATATTTAAATACTAGTTCAAAAGTGCCTGTGGAGGGAAATGGTAAATTTTAGGTGTGAGAGGAGATCCTGAGTAGATGGAAGAGATGACATCCAAATAGCATGTAAAGGAATTAAGTCTAAGCAAGATTATTCTCCTCTTTTTTTAACTTTTTAACTGAGGATGAAAATATTTTTTCAGGTTATAGATCAGGAATTCTTATGTTTCTATTTTATAAATTAAATAGGAGAAGTCATTGGCACAGGACTTTGGTGAAGTCTGAGTATATCATATGAATTTATAGTTTTAGCAATATGTATGCTAATGTAACTCTTCTACAAAATCTAGTCACTTACATGTTGTAATGGACAACGTAAATTCTTGGATTGATCCAGAACTGTGATATTGCCAGATTGGTGCAATAAAAAGATAGTTGAGATGATTACCAAGACATTTAAATGCCATGAAAACAATACTGAAAAGAAAATGACAGAAACATGGATAATGGAGCTTATAGATAGTCAGAAAGTTAGTACATACCATCTAACTCACAGGATTATTTGAAATTAAATTAATTCATATTTTTAAAGCTTGTAAAATAGTGCCTGACATATAATATATATTCAATGAATGTTATTTTCCACCTGTCAGAGATTTCCAAATCTCTGTGAGTCAGATGTTATTTCCTCCTTGTGTATAGATGAGCCAATTGAGGACCCAAAATATATAGTAAGTGGTAGGGATGTGATTTAGAACTCAGGAAATCTGGCTACAGAGCCTATGCCATTAACTACTATGCTACGTAATCACCTGATCTGCACCATGTAGTGAAATAATAAAGGGAATGAGCTGAAGGGTTAGGGGTTTGCAGTTAGAAAGGAGGATGTCTGAATTCATGATTTCAGAAGTAGAGCAGTTCTCAGTGACTATTAGATTTAGGGCGCAGCCATGAAACTAAATGGTTGAAATGTAATGAAGGTCACTAGGGATAAGGAAGTGAAATTTAGAGCGTTGTGAGAGTGAAACAAGGAGTAAGTTTGTAATAGCCATGACGCAGAAATCCACATAGAATCAGTTTTGCATGAATAATGAAAAAACCTATTGAAGAATATTGAGGTCCTAGCTCATATTGAGTACATTTAGTTTTGAAGAGGAAGTAATTGAATAAAACTGAAGTGTGTCTCCAGGAATCATTGGTACTCCAGGGGAGAGAAAAGAAAATACAGTACTGAATTTGTAACTGCCTGAGGAGTTCTTCCTGCCCATGCATAATGAAAAACTACAGCATTGTAGTAGAGAAAGAGTTTAGTAGACACTAGGATGGACAAGTCGTGTGGGAGACGAAGTTTGTACTCAAATCATCTCCTCAGAAGCTCGTAGGTTAGGGGTTTTTCAAAGGCAGTTTGGAGGACGGGGTCGGGTGGCCAGATAACAGATGCTTGCTGCTAATTGGTTGGGTGGAGATAAAATCATAGAGGGTGAAAGCTGTCCTCCTGTGGGCTGAATCGCCTCTGAGTGGGGCCACAGGAGCAGAGTCCAGGTGGAGCCATGGGTATCAGACATGCCAAAAACCTGGAAAGATTTCTCAAAAGGCAAATCTACAATAGTAGTGTTATTTGCAAGATTAATTGGGGTAGATGCATCTCTTATGACCTCCAGAATAATGGCTGATAATCCTTTATGCCTACACCTTAGCAGGACTCAGACTTCTCTCCTCCGCCCAGCTTGATGGCCTCTCATTAACTTTACAAAAGTGGTCAAGTCTTCGGGCAAGGCTATTATCATTTAAACTACAGCCTAAATGTCTTCCAAAGTTAATTTGGGGAATAATTAAGGGAAAAGCAAGAAAAGTCAGCCTAGTATTATAATTTTTCTCACTGATATAAGTTTTGCAAAGGTAGTTTCAGCTTTAATTGGGGTTGGCAATGGCAATGTGGTCACTACAGATTTGTAATGGATTAATAAGGAATTGTAGGGCACTATTGGAGGGAAAGTTGAAATTGTTGATCATGGGTGTGAGCTTGGAAAAGAGGCTACAAGGCTAGGAGAGAGATATGGAATTGGAAATTAGAGAGCAGTCAGTGGAATAGGGGTTAGCATAAAGGCCAACATCAAGCTTATCAGGAATGAGTAGATAAAAAATCTGGAATGACTAAATGTATTTAAGAATGAAAATTCAGCCTATTTTTGTAGATGTGCTTCATGGGATGACAATCCAAATTGTAGCCATGTTTGCTAATAGCTGAAAAATGAAGACAAACTTCATGGTTTGAAGACATCAAGTAAATCTGTGAAAAGAGGATTTTATAAAGATCATTGATGTGGATCCTGAAGTTACAAGACAGAGAAAGGAGTAGTGAATGACCCAAATAATAAAGTCATTAAAGAAGGTGATGATTTCTTTTGGTAGGGTAATAACTGAGAGTTGAAATAATGGAATAATCTTGGAGTAAAGACACCTCAAAGTCAAGGGAGTTTAGTACAAGTGTAATGTGGAAATAGAAAGGGGCAATGAGACTAAAAAATGGAAAAAGTGACCTTCTTTTGAAAGGACTGCAAAAGTGATATCATTGATGGAATATAAATATTAAAGTAAGGAAGAGAAAGGATTAATTAACAATGTGGACATTTGCTTAAAATAGAAGTTTAAGGGAGCAAGGTGAAATATGCTATTATAAACCTGAAAGTGAGGAAATTGATAGAGCTGAGAATAAGAAGAGATTAACAGAATAGATATGAGAATTTGAGATGATTGAGAAATAAACTGAGGGTATTCAAACTGAAGTATGTATGTGTTTGAGAGGTGGGCAAAGAAAAGAAGGAGCACCTGAGTTCTGTTAAGTTGAAATGAGTCTAGCATCAGAGTGATGCAGGATTTTTCTTGATCACTTTTGTCAGCTGGAGATACCCAGCTGGCAAGACCCTTGCCTCTCCTCGATCTGCAGCTTTGGGGCTGGCTCAACTCCCCCACTATTTCTGTCATGTGGGGCGGCTGCCCTCCATCAGCAGAGAGAAGAGGGCCACTATGTTACAGCCTCCTCTGTACCCACATTCAGTGGGTTCCAAGCTCTTCTCTCATGTCTAAGAATGAGGATACGCTTCTAACCAAAGACTGAGGGGGCCAGAAAATAATTTTGTTGAGTGACGAAACAGCTCTCAGCAGAGAGGGGCTGCACCGACATTGGGTGGTTTCTATCTCAGTGTGGCTGGGTCCAGGGCATTTATAGGCTCAGAATGGGGAGGGCACACTGATTGGTTTGTGAGTATTCAAAAAAGGTTAAAACAAAGACACCACTCAAAGGTGGGCATGGCAGTGTAAAAAACCAATTAGGGAAGGGTAGATATATATAAAATAGGTGAAAGGTGGGAATCAATCAGAGAAAAACATGCCAAATGGGAAGACAGATTATCAATCTGGTCCATAGATTTGACTTGCAGCTTGGCTTTTGGGCTTTAAACTGTCCTTTGCGTGGAGGTGGGGTTTTACTGGGGACCCACCCCTATCTGCCTAGGCACTTGTCTGCCTCCTGCCTCTATCATTCCCTGCTCTGAAGAGGTACATCTAACTACCATTAGGATAACGATGATGACCCATCTTAACTCTTTCCTGCTTACAGGCAGTGCTGTTTTGGGAAGATGGCAGATTTTTCTTACAGGCCTATCTAAGGGTCTCCAGGAAAAGGGAGCCATCAACTGAAAATCAAGTTGCATTATCATTTGGAGTTTGATGGCCTGAAGGTGAGAAAAACAAACTGTGTTATTAGAAGACATGAATTAAAACAGAACATGGGGCTAAAGACAGCTCAAAAATCCTTAGACTGCCAACATGCCAAGGTAACTAGTGGCTATAGTTATGCCTGCTAAGATTTGGGTGTTTGGTGCTTGCCTTTTGTTAGCTTCCTTGGTCTTATTTTCTTAAACAGAAACCTCCAGGTTATGGGCATCCCATTTACCTAATCACCTGGCAGGATTTGCAGGATAATTGCCCAAAATTACAATATTGATCCAGATTTTTACATTACCCATTCCTTTTGTTTCTACTGAGCTGCAGCCAGAGATCACTGATTGGTTCACAGAAATAAGCAGGGTTAGTCTGAAATGTAGACAAATACTTAAAAACAACTAATGAGACTAGAATTTAATGACAAGTGTATGATACATTTTGAAACATATTTTTTCTCTCTCCAGTCCTCATTTTTGTTAAAAACAAATCATGATAGGACTGATTCTTTGCAAAATAAACTTTAGTCTTATACTTTGCCTGATTATTTGCATAAAGTGCAGCAAGAATAATTATTTTCACAAAGGTTTTTTAAATTGGCTCTGATGGAACTCTGTTCCACAATGAATCTGAGATAAGGCCTTTTAAAGCCAAGCCCAGACATGGGTTTGTACCCTCAAATATGTATGAGTTGAGTAAATTCCTCTCTTGAGGTCCCAAGATAAGTTGGAGCTCATGGGCCTATTAGAAAGTGACATTCGTTATGCACCACAGGTTAGGAACCCTGTACAGGGAGTATGTAGACAAGGTATAAGGCCAGTTTTCCCAAGGGGCTTTTATTGGCTATGCAAGTCAAGCTGGATTCCTTAAAGAGAAGCATACCCTTCCAGTCAAAGTGTTGGTAAAACAACCAGTTTCTCCAATTGCATCTTGTTGCAGAAGAAAATGGATTCTTATTGCGTTTATGCAAAAAAACAAAAAACAAAAACAAAAACAAGAAACTATATTGCCATAAGTTAAGAATACTTACAAATAGCTTCCAAATTTTGGAGAAACCAGGCAGAGAGAAACAAATATGCTCCAAATTTTGTTAGCAGGTGTACACCTTACTCAATTGTTAAAAGCTGTAAATAGCTCAAAATAAAAGTTTCCTGACTTTGAAAAACAAAGGATTGGCAACATTTTAAGCACAAAGTTAAAAAAGATTACTTCATTTTTCTATTCATGCAGTCCATTCAGTTAACTCTTGTCCTGCTTGATATTCATGAACATTTCGGCTCTTTATGAGTCCTGAAAGTTTTTTTTATTCCAAGTTTTATTCCAAAGTTATCAGAAACCTGCATTTAAGAGCACCTGGCAAAGTTCTATAGCTTATTATTAACCATCATTTGAAAAAGATTAAAACAAGACAACAATTGTCTGTGAATGACAACATGTTCAGGGTAGTTACAGTCAAAAACACAATTGACAAAGAAATTTGGTTATTTCTATGGTTTGCAATAATTTAACATAATAACCCAAATTATGATTAATAGCATATACTCAGACATTAGAATTTTGTGACTCCCATACAATTTTGGATCATATATTATTTATGAAAATTATAACCATAAGAAGGTTGAAGATTATTTTTATTTTGGCAATCCCATGTAACTAAACATGTCAAATAATTCTGTTTAGCTCTGTTTTGGATGATTTAGGGGCCCTCTGTAGCACCTAGAAGTTAGGGGACAGAAATGACATTTTTGAAGCTGAAATTTGATTTTAGGAAATCTATCAAATATGTTAAAGATTTAAAACACTTTGATATTATTAAATGGAATTCCAGATTACCATAATTTACTTATTTGGCCAAAATAATGACTTAAAATTTTTTAAAAAGGCAAAAACCTTTACTCATTAAGAAGGAAGATGTAGCTTTCCAATTTATCTCTTGTATTTTCCTTCTCTCTCTTTTTTTTGTGGGAGGGGTAGTTTATTTGCAAGGCAAACAAGAATCTTTCATTATCCTTTAATGTTACGTACAAATTTTGTTCAAGAGAGACAAAGCCAGATTTCACCCTTACATTAGTTTACTGTTAACATTAACCCCCATTTTTTAAACGAAACCTTATACACAAATATACCCAGTTTTAGTCAGTTTGACCATGATGCGAGATTCTTATAAACCTTTCATAATCCTTTACAATTTTTTGTTAAAGAGCAGATCAGTGACTTAAGAAAACTTTGTGCTTTTATTTCAATGCTCGATTTATGGAAAAAAAAATAATATCCTTTTGAATTTATGTTCACACACAGAATTTCTTTTACAAGATTATTATTGTTTTTGAGATGGAGTCTCACTCTGTCACCTAGGCTGGAGTGCAATGGCATGATATTGGCTCACTGCAACATCCACCTCCCAGGTTCAAGTGATTCCCCTGCCTCAGCCTCCCAAGTAGCTGTGACTACAGGCATGCAACACCACTCCTCGCTAATTTTTGTATTTTTTTTAGTAGAGACAGGGTTTCTGCATGTTGGCCAGACTGGTCTCAAAATCCTCACTTCAGGTGATCTACCCGCCTTGGCCTCCCAAAGTGCTGGAATTACAGGCATCAGCCACAGTGCCTGGCCAAGATTAATTTTTATAATCCTTCCAAAACTATTTAAACCTTTAGCTTTATCTTATCTAACTTAAAATAATCCTTAATTCTCTAAACTAGGCAAAAATTTACATTCCCATGCCTTCCTATAATCTTTTACTAAAAACATATTTTATTTTCCTTACACACCTTGCATGTAAATCTTTTTTCAGTAGTCTCAATTACATGTTATAATGGTAACTCTTAGCAATTTTTTATTTTGATGTAAAATCTTCTAAGTTATTTTGATTATGTACTAGGCGCAGATAAGGTCTGACTCTTTTAAGCACAGTTAGGAGTATGGTTAACTCCATATGTCCCCAGGCCTTACCAAACTGTAAAGCAGACAAGTCGAACTATTTTCAAAAGCCAAAGAAGCAGTTTATGACCTTAAACCATATAGAAAACCCAATATCTGACCTGTATAATTTAGACCTCATGTTTATACTTTGATGACATTTTTAATTTACCAAAAAAGTCACATGAACTAAAAGTCATTACAGCTTCTACTTTTATTTTAAAAATATTTGATCTAAGCTCTTATTTTTCTTTAAGCCAATTAATTAGAGCTCTTTTTTTATATAAACATCACACACACAACACATATATAACTATACAGACAGACAGAAAATATCCAGTAGTTGTAAGATTTTTCATTTGACAGTATCCTAATTGGATCATTGGCCTCGGGGCAGAGCCCTTCAAAAAACAGGGCTAGGAAATTATGCACTTTAACAGAGCCTTAATTTTGAGAGGGATCTATCCACTTTTAATTATTGGGGTTCCATAAGGAAAACAGATTTTTGTTTTTCCCAAAACAGGGTCCGTGGTGTCTTCTCTTTTTTTTGCAAGCAGTCCCAGGCTATCATTAATTATCTTAGGGCCTCTGGTGTGCAGTACGAGTGGCAAGACAAAATGGAAAAAAATAATTCAATTGAGAAGAAAAAAATCCTCTTTCCAGAAAAAAAAGATCCAAGAGGAGAAGAACGAAGGACTTTAAAATACATCTATAGCTTGAATATCAACTTTTAATTTAGCTGACTTTTAACCATAGTGCTCTTTTAAAAAATCTTCCTAAATTTCTTATTACCTGACTTTAGCCATGGCAAATGGTCAATAGTTCTCACTTTTAAACTTTACCAAAATTAACATCTCAGGTGAAAGCAACAAACCTCAACTAAGGTTATAACTTAGCCACGACTACACAAGGTATTTTCCAAGAGGTGGTAAGCAGTTTTTACAAAATCTAGAATCTTTAAAGGTAGCCTAGAGAAAGGAAGATTTAAGAAGAGAAGCTAGAAGTTGCTCATGGAGGGGAAGAGAATCAGCAAATGGCAAAAGTGACGCAGATATTAACCAGAAAGTACTCATTCCCTAAGCCAAAATGGAACCTGGGCCACCATTGTAAAATGGCTGAGACCAAAAAACAAGTACTGCCATGTGGTTAGACAAGGTCAGGCTCCCAAGGACATAAACAAGATGGAGACCTCATCCCATTTTTTTGTTTTGTTTGTTTGTTTTTTTTAGAGACCTGTAGCAAAATTTGTAACTAACCAGTTTTCTGGGCTGGCTTGAACAGCAGGTTTATGGGGGTTCTAAGCCCATGTTCTATTCTAAGGTATTCCCTCCTTATGACAGAACCATACAGAAAGACACACAAAGCACAACAGATTGGATACAGCTTAAGACTAGCCTCATAAATACATTTTTCCATTAATCAAAACTTTGAAGAGGATATAAATGGTGATTTTTTTTGTCATTCATTCAACTGGTTTTCACAGACAGAGAGAGAGAGAGGCCAGAAGTATGACTGGTAAAACTTTACCCTTTTTCCAGCAAGTCAGGCTTCTGGGTTCCCTTCCCCAGGCTGTGGAGCCCTATCTGCCCTGAAGTCCTTTGAAGGGGGAGCAGACAAAAGGCTATTTGCATACTGTAAAAGTTTTCCTTCCTCAAGAGATTCTCAGTGTGAATTGTAATTTCTTCCCAGTTCATTTTCTTAATAAGCCAAGCAGTTTAAGGTTTGGGGAAATTAAACTTTTCCCTGTTTGGGGAATGCATCTGAGGGGAGTGTCCTGTGGTATAGAAAATATATAAAGATGATTGGTTACCCATGTGGAAAGAGGAAAAAAGGCATCCCTTAGTTCCTTTCTCTTCCCAGCAAATACCTGGGGCGTGTGAGAGAGAAAAAGAAAAGGTGAACCCTTTCTTCCATCTTTTTATTCCAAGCCCCCGTGACCTTGGTAAGTGCTACCCATGGGTGCCACTGTGGCCTTCACCTATGTAGTAGGGAGGGTTAGAGGGTAGGAATACCCACACTTACCTATGCACTGACCTATCCTCCCTACTGTCAGTGTCCTATGAGTTCGCTAGACCTCATCTATGCCTTGGATACTAGCATGAACTCTGTCTATGAAATGGGGGTAGCAGGAAGGTGGCTAATCAGCAAGAATTAGTGACTATCATCTGCACTGTGCCCCTGACTTCTGTTGTTGCCTGCCTTTGGATCCCTGAGACCTAGTTTTCCTTTCTAGGGTTTCAACCCAAAGCCTGGAATTGAGTTTGGGACAAAAAGCTGCCTCAGGAGGGTTCATAAACTCATTAAGTTCCAGGTGGCCCTCATCAAACTCCAGTAAGTTACCAGTGGTGCCCCCTGCTGAGGTCCAGCTGACACTTTCTCCCTATCATAATCAGAATGCTAAGGTGAAGCTGTGGAACCAGGTCCTCTTAAAACAAGGGAAAGAAAGGGAGTCCTGAGAATTGGGGACCTCTCATAGAAAATCTCCCTGTATTTGCAGGACTATGTGAACTCCTGACATGGTAGAAAAGAGGGAAAATAGAACAGCTTAAGTGCAGGGAGGGGAAGGTGTCTGGTGTCTTGCTCTATGCAAATGGGTTTCTTCAACAGAAAAAAAAAAACTCTTAATCACTGCATCCTCTTTGCCTCTAAGAATAGACAGAAACCACATTGTTCTAAATTGCATAGCTGATTGCTGGGTCAGATGCTCATTCTACCCAGTAATATCTCTGTAGTTAGCAACAACACCCTTAATATTATATACGAAGAAGAGATAGGTGCCATGAAAGAGAGAAGGAAAATGCAAAAGAAAAGACTGGATTGGAGGCCAGGTGGGGTACCTCACACCTGTAATCCAGGCTACTTGGGAGGCTGAGGCAGGAGAATTACTTGAACTTGGGAGGTGAAGACTACAGTGAGCCGAGATTGTGCCACTGCACTCCAGCCTGGGCAACAGAATGAGATCTTGTCAACAACAGAAAGAAAGAAGGAAAGAAAGAAAGGGGGGGGTGGGGAGAGAGAGAGAGGGAGAGAGAAAGAGAGAGAGAGAGAAAGAAAGGAAGGAAGGAAGGAAGGAAGGAAGGAAGAAAGGAAGGAAGGAAGGAAGGAAGGAAGGAAGGAAGGAAGGAAGGAAGGACGGACGGACTGGATTGGAACAAGACTGACATTCCCAACCCCTGAGAGTGACTAGGGGGTGGGTGGCAGCCTCCTCTGCAGCCATGCCATTCATTCTTAATTGGCTAACAGAGACTCAGTGTGCCATCTGTTCTCAGAAAATGTCTGAGGAGAAGGCTCAGAAACAAAAGTAAAAGAAGTTTGGAGTTTACATTTACTCACCCTACCTCAGATCCCAGATGAGCCCACAGAAAATGACACAGGATTTTTCTCGATTACTTGCCAGCTGGAGACACCCAGCTGGCAATGCCCTTGCCCTGCCTTGGCCTGCAGCTTCGCGGCTGGCTTGGCTTTACAGCCACTTCTGTCACATGGAGCAGCTGCTGTCTGCCAGTGGAGGGAAGATGGCCATGATGTTATAGCGTTCTCTGTACCCATGTTCAGTAGGTCCTGAACTCTTGTCCTGCATCCAAGAAGAATGAGGATAGGCTGACAATGAGAGTGAGGAGGGCAGAGAATAATTTTATTAAGCGGCAAAACAGCTTTCAGCAGAAAGGGGATGTGAGGGTGGCCCCCCATGCATCAGGTGATTTCTCTCTCACTGTGGCTGGGTCCAGGGCTTTTATAGGCTCAGAATGGGGAGTGCATGGTGATTGATTTGTGAGTATGCAAAAAAGGTTAAAACAAAGCACCAAAGATGCGTACAATAGTGTAAAAAACCAATTACAGAAAGGTAGGTATATGTAAAATAAGTGAAAGACGGGAATCCAGAGGAAAACACACCAAACGAGAAGACAGATTCTCAATCTGGTCCATGGATTTGACTTGTAGCTTGGCATTCAGGCTTTAAACTGTCTTTGGCTTGGAGGTGGGATTTCACCAGGGACCCACCCATATCTGACTAGGCATTTGTCTGCCTCCTGCCTTTATCAAGAGCATTATTCTTGACTTTTGAGAAATGTTTCCAGTTAAATTTGTGTGGCAACATTACCAGAATATCCTGACAATCATATGAAAATTGCTCTCTATTGATGATAGTATGCTTAAATAATTACAAAACATTCATGATATTTTATAATGCAAAGCCAAATGAAAGCTATGTTTACAAAATAAAAAACAGAATCTATCACAGATTTCTAAAAAACCAACGAATGCAGGGGAAGAAAAATCAGACAAATAAATTTAATCATTTCAGTATAATAACTGCTGATTTTAACAGACTTGAATCTGAATCTTGAACAAATATTTAAGTGTCTGCTATTTATTTTGTGTAAATACACGAAGTCTGAACAAGGTACTTTAAAATGTGAAGTCAATGAGCTGAAAATTTTACCAAGTTCTGTCATTAGACAGTACAATGGTCCAATGGCCATAGTGACACTTATGGAAAACATTGAAACCCAATCTAAAAATTAAAGTCTGATAAAAATATTGAATATGATAATACTATCTATCTTAAAGATCTCTTGATGTCTTTAGCATATTTATTCCAGTTAAACATGGGACAGTTTGGGTAATTGTGAGCTAACTACTAAACAAATATAAGCATATCAGATTTTGGAATTAACACCAAGTTTCATTTTGGTCCAGACAATTGGATCTCACCCAGACTATTAATGTTTTCACATGTTAACTTTGGAATTAAAAATAATTTCTGTATGAAAAAGACACCAATGTATACCTCACCATCAAATTGTACTGGGATAGACCTAGCTTCCACTTCAAAGAGTAGAGACTATGTGGTGTTAAATGTCTTACAACTTCGATATTTAAAATTTCCATGCTTTCCCATTGCATTTATGGGCATTGCCTTATTTTCTGCAGACCATTGGTGACTGTAGCTATGTAATTTACTAAAATCTCCTAATTTTGAAAAGTTTTCCAGATTAAAATTTACAACTAAACTGACTCTCTAGTTAAAATTATCCTGACAGAATTTTCTTTTAGCCTTTGGTTTAATAGTGTTTTGAAAGTATTCAACTTTAAGGAGAAAAAAGCAAAACTTCATATAAATAAACATAATAATATATAAATTATTAAAAATTATTTGTGGGGTTTTGCTGTTTGCACTATTTTTTAAGTACTAGAGAGATTTTAGTGAGCAATATAAAAATTGTGATTCAATTAATAAAACAATATTGCATAAGAAAAAATAATATTTCAAACAATGTTTTGTTTCATTATATCTGGCTAGGAACCTATGTCCAAATAAATTATATTGACAGGAAAACAATATTTTTTTTTATTTTCTAATTCTCTGGAGCATTTTAAAGGATAAGGCATGAAATTTTATAGACATCATATTAAGGTATTTTCAATATTTGAATTGAACAACCAGTCCTAGTATTTTTGAGCTGCTGGTGACATACATTTCATGGTGGAAGTTGTTATGAACTGTATTTAACTTATGTGATTATTTGGAAGACTATATAACTCAATATATCTAATATATTTATATATATTTCACAGATCTTTTTTTAACTAACATGTTTTTGATAATTCTATATTTGTTTTCCTTTCTAACAGCTTTAACTCTTCTATGACTATAATTACATTGTGTCTTTAACATTATTTTGATTAAGGTTGAGATTTGGAGCAGTTACTTAAATTCTTTCCCACGCTACCCATCTGTTCAACCAAAAAGCACATTTTCCATAATTATAAACAATATCCCCAAATAATCTCATTTATTCTCCTGGCTCTGTCTTCAACTACGGCAGGATTTGGGGGAAGCCATGAAACTGGTGACACTAAATCCATGGCTGACATTTTCTTTTAATCTTTTAACAGCCTTTGATACTTTCCATCATCATTTTTGTCTCGAAGCATTCTTTCACATGTATAATATCAGACACCTGGTTTTCTTTCAAACTCCCTGGTAGATCTCTTTCACTACCCTTAAATGTCAGTTCTTCAGAGTATGTGTATACTCTCTAAATGTACTTGTCTACTTCCATTGCTTTAGTAGTGAACATTTTTTGGATAATCTGTGATACTCTGATGACTCCCCTTCTCTGATAGCAGGCCCCAAATTCGAAGTGATCCACATTTTTTTCAGTCTTATCTGTATAACATGAATCTTGTTCTTCAGCTATGAGGATCCCTCATCTCAAGATGAGCTAGTAGAAAAAAAAAAAGAATCAAGATAAGCTAGTAACAGTCTCTTTTAGGGAATAACAAATTTGGACCAAAGGGTTTTAAACTTAACCTTTTGTTTGGCTGACTACATCATAAAGTCAGGTAACAGGAGCCACCATTTTCTACTATGCAAATAGGAGAGTAAACAAAACTATCCTGTGTATGGAAAGAATAATAAGTAAGATATGCAAGCAGAAGAAAAAACAGAGAATATTGCTTGGCTCCCATTAGTACTATTACCTGGTCCCAGAACTTTCTAAAACAGAGAGCTGTTATCAGAAAAAAAACTGTGAAACAAAACCTACCACTAAATATTGCTGATATAATGCCAACTATAGAATGATTTGTAAAATACGGAGCTTTGTGTCTTGGGACAAAGGCAACATCTAAGTCATAGAGACAGGGGAGAATATTTACTGACCCATTATCTGAACAAAGCGGAAGGGAAGGGCAAGCAGTAATGCTCAGGAAACCCATCAGCCATATGAATATGGCTTAGAGAAAACTATAGTTCCAAGAAGAAGCCATGATACTGGGACATTTACTTCTCGTCCACAGTAGTCCTGAAAGTAGTTTTCCAGTAGCAATAAGCTGCTTATTTCCAGCCTGTTCTGGTCAAAAGAGGTGCCACATGGGAAGAATATACTATCCCTGCAGGCCACAGCTCCCACCTTACACCAATTGCCTGTAAATGACATGATATTTCATCTTTAAGTTCAAACTTTTGAGTAGATGAATTATAAAACCTTATACAACCCTGGATTTTATATATTTAAAGACTGGTTTTCCAGAGAAGTGGGACATTATAGGGCAATGTTTAATGGATAACATTGGAAATGCCATGATGTCCTCATTCCTATTTAGTGGAGGACTCATTTTCTTTCCACCCAGTTCCTAATCAAGAAATAGGCTCTTGCTGCTAAAAGGAGGCTTAAATTCTTCTTTTATTGTCCCAGCATGGAACACAAATGGTCCTGAGGAGCTTATGGGGAACCAGAGGCTACTTAGACTACAGAGTGGAGCTACTACAAGTGCCATTGCAAAATTAAGTAAACAACCAGAATTTTCAGAAGGAAGTTGAGTTAAAGAAGGATTGCCTGTATATTAATTGATAAAGATTGTATTTAAAGTAATATTTGACAATCAGCAGAAACTAAGAAAAATCTGTAACTAGTTTGAAAAAAATGTCACAAGAAAGCAAAAAATTGAAGCCATGGGTAAAGTATGATAGATAACCCAAAGGCTATTTGCAGAATTCAACAGGCGACTCAGCCAGGAAGAGCTGGTTTGAACCTCTTGCATTTTTATGCTTTTATCAGGGCATTCAAAAAAGTGGACCAATTATATTGACAAATATATATTTTCCCTTTTCATAATATCTAAGATAATTTCTCTTAAGTACCTGTAGTGAACATGGTATCTGACCACTCTGGTCAGGATTTGGGTGCCTATATGGGATAAAACCAGATGAGCAGGATATTTACAAAATTCCAACTTATCAAAGCATTCTTCTGACTGGATAAAGGTACATGCTTCAATATAATGTCAGAACATCCCAGAACTAGACAAAGCACACATTTCTTCACTTGTAGGCAAAAATCCAGAATTCCTTAAATAGTCATACAAGTTTCTAGTTTATTCTCAGAGAAAAAAGCAAAATGTAAGCCCTGCTTGAAAAAACATATTGACTCAAATGTGTTCACATGTATATATAATTAGTCAAACCCCATTATGTGTAACCAGCTTATATTACTATCATCATTTTCTGTTTGACCACGAGATGAAGATTTTCTTAAAATCTTCTTTTAAGAAAGAGGATTATGGCAACTGAAAAATGGTAGTAGAAGTGTCATGTCATGAAAAGCTGGAGATATTAAGAAAAACATATGTAAATTATGGTTAGTTCATTTCTAGCTTTTAGTAACAAGATAAGATACAGAAGGCAGAAGGGCACTAGGGGCTTAAAGTGGAAAGAACAATGCTGCCGAGATGGAGCAAATAGGAGAGGCTGGTTGCTGTGCAAAAGGACTGGCTATAGCTGGGAAGTTAAACATGCTAAACATGGCAGACTGAACACAATTGTTTATCTCTGCTCCCTCTGAAAACCACTAAAAGTAATAAAAGGTATAACCCTATAAGCACAGAGAGAACAAGAAACAGCAGAAAAAGTAATGTCAAAAATTTGGGAAGACGAAAAATGGTTAGGAAGTTGGAATTGACGTAGTAAAGCCAGACAAAGTCAAACATAAGTCCCTAGAAGAGGATAGGAGAAGCCAACAAGAAGTTAAACCCATCCCCACCACTGGATTCCCTGATTTAAGGAGATGGATTTTAACATACACACATGCACATACACACACACAAACACAATCATAAGTATGTAAGGTAATGGATGTGTTAATTATCTTGATTTAATCACTCTGCAAGGTAAACATATATTGAAACATCCCATTGTACCTCATAAACACATATAATTATTACTTGCCAATTAAATTTTTAAAAAATTTAAAATAAAAAGAGATAGAGACAGCACTGAATGACTCTGATATAATTTTAGATTACGAGTTTATGGGTAATTTTTCCAAAATCTCTATAATGAGCAGTAATTACTTTCCTTTAGAAAAAAAAATTTCCAAAACAAGATTTCAAATGTGGGGCAGTTCTAGATGATAGCAAAATCCAGGGAATAGTATTTAGAGTGAACTGTGGAATAGAGGCAAGGTCTCTTAAACTCAAATACATCAGAGAATGTTGAGCCCAGCTAAAGCACATTTTGATCATGTGCACTGAAATTAATCAAGATGATGGTGAGCTTCAAGCTTGTGAGAAAGTAAACCTAGGAGATGAAGGGTAGGAAAGAGTTTGAGATTTGCAGAGTGCTGTGGGCTTTGGAAAGCACAAACCTGTGAGAGATTACTTGTATTATTTCTGAGGCTCTCTGCATTTTGGATAATAAAATCATCACTATTCAACAAAAGAAGCAACTGACATTCCTACACCATGTGGAGACATAGCTTGAAAAGTTATGTCTCCTTGGTATTTTCTGCAATTCCTGAATGAGACTCCAACTCAGGCTCCAATCATGCACCTACCAAAATTTTCAGCATTCACATAAGCTAAGAGCCAGAAATACAGCGTAAAATTTCCTATGTGCACCTCAGATGTGCGCCTGCACTTGTCTTTCCAGGGAAAGTATTCTGATATCATAATTTCATTCCTGCATTTCACCACATTGGCTTCTCCTCATCAGGAAAAGTGAAAGTGGAAAGTGAAACAATTTTTCTTGACTTCGAATCAATTGCGAGGTAGGCCAAGTGAGTCATGCACATCTGTACAATGAGATGTAAGACTCCCGATTAAAAAGAAATGTGTTTTCACTTGATAAGTGTTTTCACTTCATCTTTCATCACCTCTGAATAATTCAGGAAGAAACATACACCTCCTTAACCTGAGTTTTAGGGAATTTATGACTTGGCCCCACCTTAATTTGCTAAACTTTTTCATGTTCTCACTCTTCGCGAACACTTTCACAACTTCCACCTTCACCAGGGACACCTCATTATTGGACCTATCTTGGCTTGCCCAACTTTTTATTTATGAGCTTTTTGAATAAGACATTTCTGATATGTGTAAGTGATGTTTTAATATAGTTCTGTTAACATGAATACATTGACAAGTGCTGTTTTTAGCACCAAACCATGCTAGGCATCGAGGGGACTATTAGAATTTTAATAATTTAGATAATGATAAACAAGGCAATAGAGAAGCAAGAGAAATAGAAAAAAATATTTAGAAGCAAAAATGAATGTCATTCTGCTCATTTTATTAGGGATTAATTAAAATGTTTGCTTTCTATGAAATCTATTACATAAATAGGATGTAGAAACAAGTGATACTACAGGCATGTTTGCAAATCTGTATAAATTTTGCCATCTTGATCTATTTTTATTCATACATTTATATCTACGTTGACCTCACAATGTACCTTTATTTACATTACTGTATGAGACGTATGTGTGTTAGGATAATTCTAATTGAATTAGGAGAAGTGTCTTTTGGGATTACAGCTTAAAAAGTGGCTATCTAATGCAAATTTTCTGTTTTCCTTTTTGTTCTCTATAAGTTAGCAAGTTTATGATTCTGTCATCTATATTTCCTTATCTATTGAACATGTTAATATTTTTGAACTTGTTTTAATCCTATGGGGCCACTAGCAGGGTATCCATAAAATAGCTAAAAATTTCATGAGCTTAATTATACTTTGCCTTCTCTCTGTGACCCTTTTGCTTTGTTTTATATCTTTGTCTCATTTCCCTTGTTGTATAACAGCAAGACATCAGTTAATAAAATCTTAACAAAATACTTAATAAATAACTTATACTTGAGCCCCAAGGAAGTGCTAAAAATGATTAAAACACCTTGAAGGGATGATAAGAAAAGGTAAATAAAATATACATAGCATGAGAAAGCAAAGGGACAATTCTGTATCAGGAAGAATTAAAGGACATGAGTTAGTGACAGCATGCAGACCAGAAATGAGTTCAGGAGAATCAGGAAGTGAGTATTAACAATTCTGTTTCTAGTGCTGGCTTAAGCAATGAAGTGATGTCACTTAAGGATCACTTGAAAACTGAATTGTGTGATCTTTTCCTGGGAACCCCCACTTTTTTTTTTTTTTTGGCCGATTGTGTAGTCAGGAATATGCAGGTATACTTTTCACAACTATTCAAAGCTGTATTACTTAGCTAAGTTTTCCTATGTGTGTGTGTGTGTGTGTATATATATATATAATTTTAAAATCTCACTTGTTAGGTCAGAATTGTTTCTGTGACTAGTAATTTCCTGCATTCACCAGACACTATGTCATTGTTCTGCCACTGTGCATAATGCCTGTCAGTAGCTCAAAATATTTCATAAGGGCTTGATAACTGTTGGAAGAGGCCTATCTGAAACACTTAGAATATTCTTATAGAGCTAAAAGATAAGAAGGAAGCATCCTGTTAATAATTCCTTGAAGTTACTCTTCAGTTATTTCCAGTTTTAACAGAATCAGGAATTAAATTCAAATACTACTTCCCACATTAGATTCACCCACTTGTTTATTTCCTTATGTTTTAAGCATTCCGTGGGCTCATCACATTCCCGCATTTATTGTAGTTTGTTTTCTTTTACTACAGGAAATGGGTCTGTGTTCTTTATGGGGGAGATGTAAATTTTTTGAATTTTTATTTTGAAATAATTATAGGCTTACCGTATAGGTGTAGCACCATATAAAAACAAGGAATTTGATATTGGTACATCACTGTTAACTAGGCTTTAGACCTTCTTCAGTTTTCACTATTTTTTAAGCCTATAATCATTTTCTGCATTTGTGTACATGCAATTTTATCCCACATATAGATTAATGTAACCAACGCAACAAAGATTTTTAAAAAACCTCATCCGCCACCACTACAAAAGAACTCCTTTGTGCTATTTCCTTGCAATTGTAGCCACCTCCCATCCACTAAGTCCCTGTCCCCTAGCAAGAACTAATGCGTTCTCCATGTCTACAGATTTGCCTAAGGATGTTGAGCATCATTTTATGTGGTTACTTGCCATCTCTATTTACCCTTTGAGAAAATAGCTGTTCATGTAATTTGCCTATTAAATTGGATTGTTGTTTTTTCACTGTTATGTTTTGAGAGTTCTTTATATGGTCTAGGCATATAAAAATATTTTGTATATGTGACTTGCAGATATTTCTTCTTAGAGTTATAGTTTGTATTTTCATCCTTTTAATAGTCTTTCATAGTACAATTTTTTCATTTTGATGAATTCCAACTTGATGATTTCCTTTTATGGATCATTCAGTTATTTTCATATCTAAGTACTTTTTGCCTAATTCTTGATCCCAAAGATGGTCTCCCATGTTTTCATCTAAAAGTTTTATATTTTACACTTAAGTTCATAAACCATTTGGAATTAATTTTTATATTATATATAAATAGTTTCTTATTGCCTGTGGATGTCCAATTGTTCCTGAACCATTTTTTGTAAAGAATATACTTCCTCCATTGAATTGTGTCTGAATCTTCATCAAAATATCAAAAGTTGGCCAGGCACAGTGGTATGTGCCTGTTTTCCCAGCTACTCAGGAGGGTGAGTTGGGAGGATTGCTTGAGCCTGGGAGGTGGTCGCTGCAGTGAGCTGAGGTCATGCCCCAGCACTCCAGCCTGGGTGACAGAGTGAGACCCTGTTTCAAAAAAAAAAAAATTCAAAATTTTTTTCCTATTTTTAGTTTTGAAGTTTTGTTATTAGGTCTATACAAGTTTAGAATTTTTATTGCTTCCTGAGAAATTCACCCATTTGACATTATGGAGTGCTTTATTCTATCCTTGGTAATTGTCCTCATTTCAAAGTAGCGTTTATCTGATATTGATACAGCCATACCAGCTGACTTAATGCTTACTGTTTACATGGTATGCCTTTTTCATATTTTTGCTTTTCATATCTATGTTTTTATGCTGAAGTATATGTAGTGTAGAAAGCATATAGTTGGCTGTTGATATTTTTTATCCAGTCTGTCAATCTTCTCATTTTAATAGGTGTGTTTAATCCATTTATATTTAATATATGTATTAATATGTTTGAGTTTACCATCTTGCTATTTATTTTATGTAGCTTTCATTTGCATTGTGTTGCCTTTTTCCTATTTACATCCCATTTCAGTTTCTCTAGTGACATTTTAGCTAAACTTTTTTTGTATATGTTTTTAATTGCTTATGGATTGCAATATCTATTATTTTACCACACCCTGCTTAGAATCAATATTACAAGACCAAAGAAACTTACATTACATTACATAATAATGTTATGTAATTAAAATTACATGTTATATTAAAATTACATTAAAGTCCCCTATTTTTCATGCTCTTTTTATTTATTTTACCTTCTCACATATAAATCCAGAGTGTAATGCCATATTCTATTTAATTAATAATTCATCTTTGAAAAACAGTTACCTTTTACTTAGACTAAGCTCCAGGTGAGTGCAGTTGAGAGGTAAAGCCCCTCTTCTTCCACGCAGCCCCCATTTGAGGGATGGAAGCATAACATGAGCACAACATTCTGAAAATATTTGGGCTCCGATTACTTTGCTTCAGCTCAGAAAGCAGTGTTTCCACATCAGGAGAGGCAAACCAAGAGAATATCAGGCTACTTCCCTTCAAACACCTACCATTCAGCTCCTAGAATGAAAGTGTCCCTCAGAGAGAGGGTGCCATTGTCTCCATCCCTAGTCTTAGATATCTGTCTCAGAAATTTCCCTGGGTGGAGAATCAGGTCATAAAACAGTTCATAATCTTGCACTAAAGAAATTGACTTGACTTGCAACAGAGCCTGGAGACATTCGAGCCTAAAGGGAGAATAGTGAAAGTTGTAGTGAAAGGCAATAGGGAAGCAATTAAAGATACATGCTAAACTATAGATTGATCAGTTTTTTCGGAGAGAACCAGGGAATAAAACAGCTTCATCACTTAATTCCCCTTTTAAGTTGTTGTAGTCACGATTACATATTTATACACTGTTTGCTTATTAACAGAGATTATAATTATCATTTTATACACTTGTCTTTTAAATCATGTAGAATATAAAAAGTGGTATTACAAATAAAAAATATTAGCACTGGCTTTTATATTTATCTACGTGGTTACCCTTACCAATATTCTTTATTTCTTCATATGGCTTTGAGATATTGCCCTGTGTCTTTTTATTTCAACCTGAAAGACTTTCTTTAGCATTTCTTGTAGGGCCGGTCTACAAGAAAAGAACTCCCTCAGCTTTTATTTACCTAGGGATGTTTATATTTCTTCTTCATTTTTGAAGAATAATTTTGCCAGAGACAGAATTCTTGCTTTATGGGTTGTTCTTTTTCTTTCAGAAATTTAAATATGTCATTCCATTGCCTTTTAGCCTCCACAGTTTCTGATGAGAAAGACATAGGCTTTAATTTTATTGAGAATCTCTTGTACATGACGAGCTCGCTTCTCTCTTGCTTCTTCAAGATTCTCTCTTTGTCTTTTATTTGATTAAATGTCTGGGTGTTGATTTCTTTGCATTTTTTCTACTTTGCATTTGTTGAGTTTTTTGTATGTGTAGATTATATCTTTCATCAAATATGGGAAGTTTTCAGCCATTATTTCTTCAACTATTCTTTCTGCCCTTTTTTCATTCTCTTTTTCTTCTAAGACTCCCATAATATATGATTTTTTCTCATTTTTTTCCTTTTTGTTTATTTTTTTCCATTTCCAACTTTTATTTTAGTTTCAGAGGGTACATGTGCAGGTTTGTTACACGAGTAAATTGTGAGTTTCTGGGGTTTGGTACACAAATGATTTTGTCACTGAGGTAGTGAGCATAGTACCTGATAAGTAGTTTTTCAACCCTCATTCTCCTCCATCCTTCGCCCTAAGTAGGTCCTGATGTCTATTTTTCCCCTGTTTGTGTCCATGTGTACTCAATGTTTAGCTCCTACTTATAAGTGAGAACGTGCGAAATTTGTTTTCTGTTTCTACGTTAATTTACTTAGGATACTGTCCTCCAGCTGCATCCATGTTGCTGTAAAAGACATGATTTCATTTTTTATGGCGGCATAGTATCCCATGGACTATATGTACCACATTTTCTTTATCCAATGCACCATTGATGGGCATCTACGTTGATTACACGTCTTTGCTATTGTGAATAGTGCTGCAATGAGCATACAAGTACATATGTCTTTATGGTAGAATGATTTATATTTCTTTGGGTATCCAGTAATGGGATTGCCATGTCAAATGGTAATTCCATTTTAAGTTCATTGAGAAATTTCCAAACTACTTTCCACAGTGGCCAAACTAATTTGCATTTCCACCAACAGTGTGTAAGCATTCCCTTTTCTCTGTAGCCTCACCAGCATCTGTTCTTTTATTCCTTTTTATTAATAGCCATTCTGACTAGCATCTCATTGTGGTTGTAATTTGCATTTCTCTGACGATTAGTGATATTGAGCATTTTTTCTTATGCATGTTGGCCATGTGTATGTCTTTTAAGAAGTGTCTGTTCATATCTTTTGCCCATTTTTAAATAAGGTTTATTTATTTATTTTTTTGCTTGTGGATTTGTTTAAATTCT
This sequence comes from Homo sapiens, assembly GCF_000001405.40. Classification (NCBI taxonomy): domain Eukaryota; kingdom Metazoa; phylum Chordata; class Mammalia; order Primates; family Hominidae; genus Homo; species Homo sapiens. Next base: position 110,811,829 of record NC_000005.10, on the reverse strand, counting down.
TTATAGATTCTGGATATGAGACCTTTGTCAGATGCATAGTTTGCAAGTATTTTCTTTTTTTTTTTTAATGCCTTCTGATCTGGGGTTGAAAATTAGGCATTTTGAATATTATCATGTGTTAACTTCAGAAATCAAATAATTCCTTTTCTCCAAAGTTTTCTAATGCTAATCATTGAAAGCTTCAGTCATCCAATTGTTTGGTAATGTTTCCAAAACTATTTTTTGCAAAAATTGCATTCCTTGTCATGTGGGCACTCTAAAGTCTCTGCCCATTATCTTAGTGGTTAGCCAAGAGCCAAGAATAAAATAAATCATAAACCAGATTGCTTAAAATTATGCCTTAACTTTCAGCTCCTGCTTTCATAAAGCCCAGAGCTCACAGATCTGTCAGAGGTGCAGTGCTAGGGTACTCTCAATGTTTGGTTCTAAGCATGTGTTTTGCACTTCATCTTCCCCAATAAATGAAGTGGCCCTTCCAAGACTTTGTTTCTTCAAAAAACTTTATCACTAGGCTTCTTCTTTCTGAACTTTTTTTCTGCCTGCTACTTGTCCTGTCTATCACCTCCTGCCTCAGGTGGGCATAGGTAGGGTATGTCATTAAATATTTCAATAGATATCACCACAACCCAGAAAGCTGCTCCAGTCTAGGATGGGAGGGTGGCAGAACAAAATTCAGGCTCTGAACTGGTCCCTAAGGGAACCACCAGTCAGGTCCAAATGTACAACTACAGTATTTGAATAACAAGGTGTATATTATCATTCTGGCAATAGCAAGCCACACCAAGAATATGAGCTGCCCTCCCCACAGCTACCTCCCCCTGCCCACCATGCTGGAAAATGGTAAATGGGAGTCATATGTGTAAAAGCAGCACAACATTCTCTTACCAAATGTCAGCTGCCTTTTTTTTTCATTAAGTAATCCTCTGGGTTATTGAAAATTTTGGATTCAATTCCAGAGTTCTGATAAAATAGATTCTGTCAGTCTTTGTCAAGGTGTAAAGGCTTCTATAGAATTTTCCAATTCTGATTAGTGTGTTGAAGACTTCCTCTAAAATTTGATTTTTAACCTGTCTCCTTCTAAAAGATTTTATGTATTTATATGCTATGCTTTGGAGCTGTAGGGTTGTATCTACTATTAATATGTCTTCTTCATAAAAGATGTCTTTTATTATATAATACTCATCTTTATCTTTTTAAATTCTTTTAATCTTAAATTACAAATAGTTTGTTACTAATATTTTTACTGTGGATTTTTGTTTTTTGCTTTGCATTACCTGGTACCTTTTTTTGTCTATCTGCTTACTTTCTAACCCATCTTTATCAGTGGACTTTAAGTGTGTTTTTTTAATAAAGCATGCAGCTTTTATTTTAACAGCCAATTTGACTATCTCTTTTCACCTGATTGGATAAATCAGTCAGTTTTCTCTCAGTATAATGAATTATGCTTATTAATTCCATATGAATTGATGCTTTTTTAGTATTACACATTTCATATTACTCTTTTATATTTTCCAGTTCTATTTTTCTGCTAGTTTGATCAGGTTGTTATTATTTCATGAATTCCTCATGAATTCCTTATTCCTTATGGAAGTTTTACTTTGCTCTTCTGTTAATGTCTACTTTTCCTTTCTCTATTTTCATAATCATGCAAATTTCTATAATATTGTTTGAATATAAAATACAAATAGAAACTATCCCCTCTATTTCTTTTCAATCTAAAAAAGATGAGAGACCTGTGGAATACTTCTAATTTTCCCTGCTCTCCTTCTTCTTCCCTACCCCTGCCCAAGTCCATTGGATGTTTTATTTTTCTGTCCACCCACCCTTATCCCCAGTTTCTATGTTTTGCTGCGGTAGTTTTTAACTAATTTTATTCTAGATAATTTGGACTATATTAGAATTTTCTTTATATCCCTTTCAACTCCAGATTCCAAACGTATATATTGACACTTTTTTGTTAGTATAGTCCTCTTTTGGACAAAAATACCTACAGCCCATAGTAGCCTTTTAGCTCAGACTTGAAAGTAGAGAAGTGAGTTTTACCCAGGTCACATATTTCCATTATTTTATTTCTAAAACATTAAAAATATAATGTGTTGTTACATGGTATATACACAATCTATTGTGTATTTGGTACTTATCATCATTTAACATGTATTTCAGTAATTTATCGTATTTATTGACTCTTTCACCCTACTAGAATGTAAGGCCCATTAGAGCAGAGATATTTTTTGTCTAAAATGGTCACTGCTGCATTATACTCATTTCTCTGAAAGTTTTCTTTTACTTTTTGGGGGGCTTGAATTATCTAGATGACCACCTTTTATTTCTTTCTTCCATGTAGGAATTATCTGATGTATTCAGGTTATAATATCCCCAGTGCAACAGCATTAATAATGGAAACAGACTAAATAATGGAAAATAGGGCAATGGACTACAGCAGCAAGTTAATATCAGTGCAACAGTACAGCTCTCTGAAGTTTGATTTATTCATGTGAAAGATAAGAAGGTGAAATGGGTTGTCTCTACATTCTCAGTGTCCTTCTCTTAGCCTATTTTTCTTCTAAGAATGATGACTGGATCTAGGAAGACTTCCCAGGAAAGACTGAAACTTGCTTCCTGGCACTACAACTCATATATGAGTAAGGAAATGACTCCACTGTGCCTTTTCGAAACCTTTAAATACTAGGTGATGAGAAAATAGATGTATACAAGTGCTTTCAACTAGAAAATTCCTGAGAAATATTTTCATATTAAGTAGTCAAAAAGGGCATTATACACACAATAAAAACTGTGCTAGATGTTATCAGGACCTTGGTATTATTTCCAAGATTTATGCTGCACTAGGGAAGATGGCCATTCCTGGGTACTTCATTATTACTGCAAAGTTATTCACAGTATTAATAGCTTTTAAACCATACATTTATATACTCTTTCTATTTTATATACTCTGTGAACTAATATACCATTACATATATATATGTATGTGTGTGTGTGTGTATGTGTGTATATATATATATACACACACACATATATATATTTACAAATATTCACAGTTCTGTGTGGAAGAGCTGGAAGAGTAGTTACAATTAACTCTTTTGTAATTTGACATTTACAAAAGAACACGGAAAGTCCCAAAGTAGCTATGGAAAAACTTGGTTTTCATTGGTGTCCCTATGCTCTATGAGTATAATTACCATTTATTTCTGGGGAAAAATAATAAAATGTAACAATTGAACATATATTGATAGGGAAAATAGGAGGAAATATTTGAAATAAAAACTGTTCTGAGAATCCTGGTTCCCTGATTATATGGTTACTACCTAGGTAAAAATGGGCAAGTGGGATCTGGAGCTTCCATCAAGTCTCTTCATTTCTTCATTCAGTAGTTAAGCCATATTTGTTACAAGTTGCAGAAACCTAATTCAGCCTAGATTGCATTAATAATAATAATAATAATAATAATAATAATAATAATAATGTTATTTAATCACATAGAGAAGTTCGTGGGTAGAGGTGGACAAGAAGTCTAAGTCCAAGCACTCAAATATTACTTTCAGAATTCTCTCTTTCTCTTACGCACCCACAGGCACACACACACACGCATGCATGCATACACACTCTCAGACAAGCCATCTTCCTGTAGCTGCCACCAGCAGCTGAAGCTCACGTAATTCTTTATCTTTATCAAAGACATTGGAAAAATAATTTAGCTCTTTTAATACATAGATAGACAAATAAAATTCCTGATATTCTGTTGTTTGGATTAACATAGAACCTGTGCAACACAGAACACGGCATAATCTCTTAAACAAATGGGTTTGTGGGTTCTCTGTATCTCCACCTCAGCCATATGCACTGGAACTAGGTGAGGGAAGCATTCCCAAAATAACATTTGACTGCTTATACCAGAAGAAAGGGTAGTTATGCATTGTAAAATAAAATAAAGTAAAATCTCCACTAGACATGTGTTCAGTTAATCGCTGAGGGTATAATGTCCTGAAGCAGTTATAACTCCACTGGGGGATCCCAAACCTCAGAACACATTAGGTAGACCATAGAAAGTTACTGAGACTATAACACTATTTATAACTTAGGATTTTTTGTCTTAATATCTTTGAACTGATCCCTTAAAAAGAGTGGGTTTATTCAACTCTGAGACTGAGAGGATCAATATCTCTGAAACCCATTCACGAGGGTTATTATGAGGATTACATTAAAGGACCAATGAAAAAGAGTGGGTTTATTCTGTAACTACCTGGAGGGCTCTGTGTAGACTCTGTTGTAAACTACCCACCCAGAAATGGTGCAAAGAAAGCAGGAACCAATTACCAAAGGAAGAATAAAGGAGGCAAGAGGGCTTCAAAATAGGAAGCACTACTGTTGTCCTAGAATTGTAGCAATGAGACTCACTGACAACGGGAGCTATTTGAGAGAAGAGCCATTACAGATGGGAGCAGCTGTTGGGAGCCTGTGCCAGAAGCCACTGCCAAGAGAAATTGACAAAAAAAAGCTGCTGGGAATCCACTTTGGGAAAAGAAAGAACTGTCAGTAGTCTCAGCCCTCTTCACTACACTATCGTAAGTGACCTCAGAGGTCGGATGTAAGAGTAAGATTGTTGTTCTTACTAAATACCATATATCTATATATCGTCCATATGTATATCTAAATCTATATCAATATCACTAAATACATATATATCTTAGTATTCTATGTACTCTGCTCCACAGTAAAGAATCAAATTCCTTCCTCATTCATTCAGGTAATGTTTATGTACCTCCGTTCTGCAAAACATAAAATGAAAAGAAAATTTTTAACTTCATACTTCTGATGTGATTGCTATCTAGTGGAGGAAAGAAGTATATAAATAAATGTTTAGAATACATTCTGGTGGGAATAATTGTGAAATAGTATCTAGGGGAGCAGAATAGAAGAAAAAGCTGCCTTTGCTTGAATGTCTTGATTAAGACTTTGCTGAAGATGTCACATTTTATCCGGTCGTTACTGAAAGGAAGACTCAGAAATTCTAACAGCAGTATAAACCTGCTATAAAATGGTAATCAGCCTTTATAGGGAAAGATACTTGAGTACATTACAACTTAAATAATTAGGTAACAAGCTCTCAAAACTGTATAGGTTAGGTACCAAGTAAATATTTGTGAAAATAAATATAGTGGACTAAAAGAATATTAGAATGTGTTTGGTATTTACTTCCTAATACATAGTTTTACCTCAAAGTTTGATGTGATCTGTTCCCCAGTAATGTGAGTTAAAATTAGTAAATTTAGCTGATTTTTATCTTTTACTTTTCTAGCCCCTTTTCCTTCTCAGTTTCCATCATTTTTATAGATTGATTGCTTCTCCAGAAGATTATAGCAACCAGGAGAAACATGGCCTAATTACCTGGTTGTTATCATTCAATAAACTATTATTAAATAATAATGGACAGCATCTGCTGAAAGTTTGTTATATAATAGGCACTATATGATATAATGTACAGGAATTAAGTTATTTAATTCTCCTTAAAACACTATAAGGAATGTAGCATTAGTAATCTCATTTTACAGTAAAGTGACTGAGGCTTAGCATCTTTAATCAGTTTCACATAGCTAGTGCATGGTGATGCTGGGACTCTAGCCATGCTCTCTAATTTCAAGTGATTTCAACACTGAAGTAAAGGAATTAAAAATCACAGTATAAATCACTCTAAGAATGCTTGTTTTAAGATTGTAATACCATTTTAATACTTTCTTAGCTCAAGAGGAATAATTTTGTTCTCCCAAATATTTTTTCCAATTCATAAAATGAAGCCAATTGCCTCAACATCATCGTTAAGCCTCATGCTTTTTTTTTAAATCCCCAAACATCTAAGCACCTGAAACTAAGATAATGCAGAAATACTTTTAGGGACTCAAAAATCAAAATAGATCCAAGGTAACCAAATTCAAAGTCATCCTCCAACAGAAGAGGTACATTTTTGAATGTGGAAGCCACACCATCTTTGTTGGTCATTTATAAATCTTTTCAAAGCCCATCTCTTCAAGATGATCTCCAAACTCAAAAGTTTTGTAAGCTGCATCTGGGTCCTTCAAAAACACTGAAGAAACTGTAAAGATGGAATCTCATCTCACTCTTAAGTGCTTCTTTCAACATACAATAAAATTGGACACAGTTTTTAACAAGCAGCTGATACATGAAGAGTTGATGGAATACCTGCCAATTTGGTCTAACATGCCAATTTGGCTATACATAATACGATAATATACATAATGTGTCAGTTTATCTGGTTTAATAAACTATTTTATAAAATAATAATGGCATAAGTGATGTAGCTGGTAACTTTCATTACAATTCCCATTCTTATATTAGGTATTACAGCCTAAAGCTAAACTCTTGAATGTTTTTCAACCTCCTTTTTTAGTTGACTACCAACCAACTGTTGGATAGAAGTGGGAAGCAGAGGCAAGGTAGTCTCATGACAAGGACCATGGGGGTAGAAATATGAAAAGTGGAGGTGCAGTTCAGGCTTTACTGACTTGCCTGCTGTATTATATTGGATAGACAGTGAGCCTCTCTAGACCTATCAGACTCCAAATTTGTAAAAGGAAAATGATTTCTTTTTTTTTTTTTTTTGAGATGGAGTCTCACTCTGTCGCTCAGGCTGCAGTGCAGTGGTGCAATCTTGGCTCACTGCAAGCTCCGCCTCCCAGGTTCACGGCGTTCTCCTGCCTCAGCCTCCCGAGTAGCTGGGACTACAGGCACCCACCACCACACCCGGCTAATTTTTTGTATTTTTAGTAGAGATGGGGTTTCACCATGTTAGCCAGGATGGTCTCGATCTCCTGACCTCATGATCTGCCCGCCTTGGCCTCCCAAAGTGCAGGGAATACAGGCGTGAGCCACCGCACCCAGCGGAAAATGATTTCTCTATCCATATCTCTTAAGAGTATGATGATAAAAGTGAGAAAACATTACAGTTAAAAGGTGTTCATTTTTTTTCATGTCCAACTGGCCACAAATAACTACAATTTACCCTTCTCTTTCAATCAGTGCAGACTCTGCAAAAAGGTATTGTAAAATTAGTAACTAACAGTATTAGTTACCGAATATTGTGTAACAAATTACCTCAATGTTTAGCAGCTTAAAGGAACAACAAAGGTGTATTAGGTCACATAATTTCTGAGGGTCAGGATTCTGAGTGTGGCTTAGTTGGGAGGTTCTGGCTCGAGATCTCTTATGAAGTTGCACTTAAGCTGCAGTGAAAATAGGCAGGGCTGTGTCATTTTAATGTTCAGCTTGAGGTGAAGGGTCTGCTTTCAAACTCACTCATATAGTAGTTAGCAGGCCTTGTATCTTCAATAGCTGTTGGCCAGACACTCAGTTTCTCACCATATAAGCCCTTCTATACTATGCCTTGTAACATGGCCACTTACTTCCCCAGGAAAGAATGATACAGAGAGACAGAAAGAGAGAGAGAGAGAGACTGAAAGGCAGACAGATGGAAAACATGCACTCATGGTGGAAGCCAGAGTCCTTGCTAACCTAATTTCAGAAGTGGCATACCATGCTCCCATGAGATTGTGGTGTAGCAAGGCCCTCTATGATCCACCTTCAGGCAGAAATGCAGGCATTTGGAGCACCTACTTGCCTGAACCAGCATCGTGAGTCACCTTACCTTTCCTGGACACAGATCTTGGTGCAGCAAGACTTATTCTGCTCCATGCCCAGTCAGATCACTAGGCACTCAGAAAAGCTGTTCACCTGGTTCAGCAGACTGAGCTACCCCACCATTCCTGTACAGAGATTGTGGTACAGCAGGGTTCTCTCTGTTCCACTCCCAGAAAGATCTCCAGGCATTTGGAGTCCCCATTCACTTGGTTCAGCAGCCTGAGCCTCCCCACCCTTCCTGGACATAGGTGGACCTGCTTTGTCTGGCCCCACCCTTTGTGATTCCAGCTCCCCAGGGCTAAGCAGGGAGCTTAGACCACTGTGCATTCTACAAATTAACCCATTGCCTGAGGCAACAGAGTGCTGTTGCAAGTAAAAAAAAAAAATCAAGTATATACCCAACCACATTGGCTGCAGCTGGCTCTTACCTATAAGTGTAATCTATGGGCTTGTGGGCCAAATTGCACAACCCAATGTAAAATCTGCTGAAAGAAGTACACAGGGTTAAAGAAGCAGAGCCTAAAGACCTTACTCAGCATTCTCTACAGTCACACCCCTTAGGAAGGAAAGGGAAAGAAAAATGATGGTATACTAACATAATAGGGAAAGAAAGAAAAAGAAAATATTCTACCCACACAAAAATAATTACAAAAATTAGAAGTGTTAGTGTCTCCAGATAAGAGGGAGCCAGTGCAATAATTCTTGCACCACGAAAAATACGAATGTAGTGACACCACCAAAGGATTGCCCTAGCTCTCCAACAATGGTTCCTAACTGAAATGGAAATTCAGAAATGATACATAAAGAATTCAAAGCATGGATTGCAAGGTGGCTCACTGAGATCCAAGACAGGGTTGAAAGTCAACAGAAAATAACTTCTAAAGCAATCCAAGAAATGAAGGAAGAGATAACATCTTAAAAAGAAATCAGTCACAGCTTCTGGAATTGAAAACCTAACTGAAGGAATTTCAAAATACAGTTGAAAGCTTTATCAACAGATTGGCCCAAGCAGAAGAAAGAATTTCAGAAATAAAGAAAAAATAATTTTTTAAAAAATGAGCAACGTCTTCAAGAAATATGAGATTTTGTAAAGTGACCAAACCTACAAGTTAGTGGCATTTCTAAAATAGAAGGAGAAAAAGCAAAGAATCTAAAACATATATTTGAGGAAATAATTCAAGAAAACATCCCTAATCTTGTTAGAGACAGACATCCGGATACAAGAAATCCAAAGAACACCTGAAAGATACTACACAAAACAATACTTATCAAGGTGTATCATCACCACACTGTCCAAAGTCAATGCTAAAGAAAAAACCTCAAAGGCAGCTGGAGAAAAAGGGCATATCACATACAAAAGGAACCCCATCAGGTTAACAAGGGAGTTCTCAGCAGAAACTTTACATGTCAGGAGAGATTGGGGGCCTATGTTCAGCATCATAAGGAAAAAAAAAATTCAACCAATAATTTCATATCCCCCCAAACTAAGCTTTATAAGCAAGGGGGAAATAAAATCTTTTCTAGACAAGTAAGTGGTAAGGAATTTTATTACCATTAGCTAAGCCTTACAAGAGATTCTTATGCGAGTTCTAAACAGGAAAAAAAGAGAGTGATACCTCCTACCACAAAATCACACTTATGTACATAGCCTGCAGACCCTATAAAGAAAAAGTACAATAGACACTACAATGCTACCACAAAAAACACACAAGTACATCACTTGCAGACTGTATAAAGATAAAATACAATATAAACTACAAAGCAACCAGCTTCCAATTTTATGGTAGGATCAAAACCTCACATATGAATATTAACTTTGAATGTAAATGACCTATGCACCCCACTTAAAAGGCACAGAGTGGCAAGTTGGACATAAAAATAAGACCCATCTGTCTGTTGTCTTTAAGAGACCCATCTCACATATAGTGATACCCATAGGCTCAAAGTAAAGGGTTGGAAAAAGATCTATTCAGCAAACAGAAACCAAAAAAGAGCAGGGGTCACTATTCTTACATCAGATAAACCAGACTTTAAATCAACAAGAGTAAAAAAAAAAAAAAAAAAAATTAAGAAGGGCGTTACCTAATGACAGTGTTCAATTCAACAAGAAGACTTAACTACCCTAAACATATATGCACCCAACATTGGTGCACTGGTACCCAGAGTCATAAAACAAGTACATCTAGACCTATGAAAAGACTTAGACAGCCACACAATAATAGTGGGAAACTTTAACACTTCATGGAAAGCATTAGAAAGATCATTAAGGCAGAAAACTACAGAAATTCTGGACTTAAACTTGACCCTTAACTAACTAGACTTAATAGGCATCTACAGAATCCTCCACCCATCAACCACAGAGTATATATTCTTCTCATCTGCAGATTGAATATACTCCAAGATTGACTACATATTTAGCCATAAAAAAAGTCTCAATAAATTCAAAAAAATCAAAATCATACCAAACATACTCTCAGACTGTAGTGGAATAAAAATAGAAATCAATAACAAGAAGATCTCTTAAAACTACACAATTACATGGAAATTAGACAGCTTGCTCCTGAATGACTTTTGGGCAAACAACAAAATCATGTCAGAAATCAAAAATTTTTTTGAAATAACTGAAAACAGACACAAAACATCCCTATGTTAGTCTGTTCTCATAATGCTATAAAAAAATACATGAGACTGGGTAATATATAAAGAAAATAAGTTTAATTGGCTCATGGTTCCACAGGCTAAACGGGAAGCATAGTAGCATCTGCTTCTGGGGAAGCCTCAGGGAGCTTTTACTCCTGACAGAAGGCAAAGTGGGAGAAGATATCTTATATGGCAGGAGCTGGACCAAGGAGGGAAGAGAGGTGCTACACTTAACCAGATCTCATAAGAACTCTATCACAAGAACAACACTAGGGGGATGGTGCTAAACCACTCAAGAAAAACCACCCCAGTGATTCAGTTACCTACCACCAGGCCCTGTTACTAGTGGAGGGTGTCTAGCTTCTTGGTGTCTTGAACAGAGAATGGGAAAAATTCACAAACAAAGCAAGAAAAGAATGAAGCAACAAAAGCAGAGATTTATTGAAAATGAAAGTACACTTCACAGAGTAGGAGCAGGTTTAAGCATAGGGGCTCAAGGGCCTGGTTACAGAATTTTCTGGAGGTTAAATACTCTCTAGAGGTCTCCACTGGTTACTTGGTACATGACCTATGTAAATGAAGAGGATGAAGTAAAGTTACAAAGCCATTTACTTGATGTATGCCCTACGTAAATGGAGAGGAAACATGTTTCCATTTGATTTAGTTCTAGGAAGTCAGTGTGAATAGGCCTTGTGTTCCCTGCCCCCAGACTCTATTCTCCTGCCCCAGCCTGACCTCCAACATTGGGGATGAGAATTTAACATGAGATTTGTGTGGGGACACAGGTCCAAACTATATCAATACCAAAACTCTAGGATGCAGCTAAAGCATTTTTAAAAGGGAAGTTTATAGCACTAACTGTCTACCTAAAAAAGTTAGAAAGATCTCAAATTAATGATCTAACATCACACCTATGAGAACTAAAAAAAAAACAAACAAAAAACAAAAGACCAAGAAAAAACAAATTCTAAAGCTTGCAGAAGAAAAGCAATAACTAAAATCAGAGTGTGATATGGTTTGGCTGTGTCCCCACCCAAATCTCATCTTGAATTGTAACTCCCACAATTCCCACGTGTTGTGGGAGGAACCCAGTTGGAGATAATTGAATCATGGGGCAGGTCTTTCCTGCACTATTCTTGAGATAGTGAATGAGTCTCATGAGATCTGATGGTTTTAAAAACAGGAGTTTCTCTGCACAAGCTCTCTCCTTGTCTGCCACCATCCATGTGAGATGTGACTTGCTCCTCCTTGCCTTTCATGATGATTGTGAGGCCTCCCCAGCCACGTGGAACTGTGAGTGCAATTAAGTATCTTTCTTTTGTAAATTGGCCAGTCTTGAGTATGTCTTTATCAGCAGCATGAAAATGGACTAATACAGAGAGGAACTGAAGGAAATTGAGACTCAAAAATTCATACGAAGAATCAATGAAACAAAAAGTTGTTTTTTGAAAGGATAAACAAGATCAATAGGCTGCTAGCTAGATTAACAAATAGAGAAGATTCTAATAAGCACAATCAGAAATTACAATGGTTACAATACAACCAGTCCCACAGAAATACAAAAGGTCCTCAGAGACTATTATTAACAACTCTGTACACACAAATTAGAAAATCTAGAGGAAATGGATACATTCCTGGAAACACACCCTCTCCCAATGTTAAATCAGTAAGAAATGGAAACAATGAACAGACCAATATCAAGTTCCAAAATTAAATCAGTAATAAAAAATCTAGCAATCAAAAAATGTACCAGACCAAATGGATTGACAGCCAAATTCTACCAGATGTACAAGGGGAGCTGGTAACAATTTCACTGAAACTATTTCAAAAAGTCAAGGAGGAGGCACTCCTCCTCAACTCATTCCATGAAGCCAGCATCACGCTGATACCAAATCTGGCGAAGACACAATGAAAAAAGAAAACTACAGACCAATATCCCTTATGAGTATAGATGAAAAAATCCTCAGCAAAATACAACAACACATCAAAAAGTTAACTCACAATGATCAAGTAGGCTTTATTCCTGGGATGCAAAGTTCATTTAACCTATGCAAATCAATAAATGTGATTTACAACATAAATAGAATTAAAAGCAAAAACCATATGATTATCTCTATAGACATGGAAAAACTTTTTGATAAAATTTAACATCCCTTTATGATAAAAAGCTTCAAGGAACTAGGCATCAAAAGAACATACCTCAAAATAATAAGAGCCACCCATGAGAAATCCACTGCCAATATCATAATGAATGGGCAAAAACTAGAAGCTTTCCTTCGGAGAACTGGAACAAGACAAGGATGCTTATTGTCACCTCTCTGTCAACATAGTACTGGAAGTGCTAGCCAGGGCAATCAAGCAAGAGAAAGAAATAAAAGTCATCCAGATAGGAAAAGAAGAATTTAAACTATCTCTCTTCATGGACAATTTGATTTTATTCCTAGAAAACCCCAAAGAGTCTGTCAAATGGGTCCTGGAACTGATAAATGACTTCAACAAAGTTTTAGGATATAAAATCAATGTACAAAAATCAGTAGCATTTTTATATATCAATAACTGAGAGCCAAATGAAGAATGCAATCCAATTTACAATAGCCACAAACAAATACAAAATACCTAGCAATACATTCAACCAATGAAGTGAAGGATCTCTACAAGAAGAACTACAAAACACTGCTAAAAGAAATCAGAGATGACACAAACAAATGGAAGGAAATTCCATCCTCATGGATTGGAAAACTCAGTATCGGTAAAATGGCCATACTGTCTAAAACAATCTACGGAATCAATGGTATTTCTATCAAACTACTATCACATTTTGCAGAATTAGAAAAAAACTATTCTAAAATTCATAAGGAATCATAAAAAATCCCAAATAGCCAAAGCATTTCTAAGCAAAAACAAAGATGGAGGCATCCCATTACCTGACTTCCAACTATACTATTAATATAAGGCTACAGTAACCAAACAGTGTGATACTGGTGCAAAAACAGACACATAGACTAATGGAACAGAATAGAGACCCCATAAATAAGGCTTCACAGCAACAGCCATCTCATCTTTGACAGAGTTGGCAAAAATAAGCAAAGGGGAAAGAACTCCCTATTCAATAAACAATATCGGGATAGCTGGCTAGCTATAACATGTGCAGAAGAATAAAACTGCACCTCTACCTTTCGCCATATACAAAAATTGATGCAAAGTGGATTAAAAATTTAAATGTAAAACCTCAAACTTTAAGAATCCTAGAAGAAAAACTCAGAAACACCATACTGGACATGTGCCTAGGGAAAAAATTTATAAGTAAGTCCTAAAATACAATTGCAACAAAAACAAAAATTAAAAAGTGAGACCTAATTAAACTAAAGAGCTTCTTCACAGCAAAAGAAACTATCAACAGATTAAACACAACCTACAGAATTGGAGAAAATATTTACAAAATATGCATCTAACAAAGGTCTAATATCCAGAATCTGTAAGGAACTTGAACAATTGAAGAGGTAAAAAACAAAGAACCCCATTTAAAAAATGGGCAAAAGACACTTCTCAAAAGAAGACTTACATGTGGTCAACAAAGTATGAAAAAATGCTTGGAAACTGAAGGTCTAGTTTGCAGGAGAAGTTTCTGACCTTACCTGGAGCTGAGTCAATTTAGGAGAGCCAAGCGAAATACAGGGGTAGCGGAAGCAGTGGGAAAGGCCCTGGGAGCTCACTGGGTCCCCCAGCAGGCCATTCCTGCCTGGCACCACAGGGATCCTTCCAGAGGGTGGCCGGAAGTGCAGGGAAAATGCCACATGGAGAAGGATGTCTCCAGCTGAACTTTGTAACAATTTGAACCAGGTGAGAAGCCTGCTAGTCAGAACTCACGGGAGGGTGTGAATCTGGTGTGCAGACTACATAGGTGGGGAGGAACTACAGCCCTTTACTTTCACAGCTGGGAGGTGGGTAGCCTGGGGTATATTCTCAGCCCTGCTTGCCCACTACCTGGAAACAGACTTGGTGCTGTTAGTGGGGGCACAATGGGAGTGAGACTGGCCCTTCAGATTTCATGGGAGCTGATGAGGCCTGTGACTGCTGGCCTTCCTTCATTTCCCTGACAACCTGCATGACTTAGCAGAGGCAGCCATAATCCTGCTAGGTACATAACTCCATTGACCTGGGAACCTCACCCCCACCCTTTAAAGCAGCTGCAGCAAGACCCACTTAAGGAGAGTCTGAGCTCAGACACACCTAGCCCTGTCCCCATCTGATGGTCCTTCCCTACCCACCCTGGTAGCTGAAGACAAAGGGTATATACTCTTGGGAGTTCTAGGGCACCACCTATCACCAGTTCCTCTGCATACTACCACTGCTGATGCTTTCTGTAAAGTGCCACCTCCTGGCAGGAGGCCAACAAGCAAAAAAAAAAAAAAAAGAGCATTAAAACCACCAAAGCTAAGAACCTTCATAGAGTCCATTTCACTCCCCTGCCTCCTCCACCAGAACAAGTGCTGGTATCCATGGCTGAGAGACCCATAGACTATTCACATCAAAGGAGTTGGTGAAGACAACCTCCAGTACCAGCCCAGAGCCTGGTAGATTTGCTGGGTGGCTAGACTTAGAAGAGAGACAACAATCACCGCAATGCAGTTCTTGGGAAGCCACATCCATAGGAAAAGGGAGAGAGTGCTCCATCAAGGGAATCCCCCCAAAGGACAAAAGAACCTGAACAACATCCTTCAGCCCTAGACTTTCCCTTTGACAGAGGCTACCCAAATGAGAAGAAACCAGAAAACCAACTCTCGTAATATGACAAAACAAGGCTCTTATAAACCCCCCCAAAATCACACTAGCTCATCAGCAATGGATCAGAACCAGGAAGAAATCCCTGATTTACCGGTAAAAGAATTTAGAAGGTTAGTTATTAGGCTAATCAGGGAGGCATGAGAGAAAGGCAAAGCCCAATACAAGGAAATCCAAAAAAAATGATACAAGAAGTGAAGGGAGAAATATTGAAGGAGATAGATAGCATAAAGAATCAATCAATCAAAACTTCAGGAAACATTGGACACACTAATAGAAATACAAAATGCTCTGGAAAGTCTCAGCAATAGAATTGAACAAGTAGAAGAAAGAAATTCATAGCTTGAAAACAAGTTCTTCAAATTAACCCAATGCAATAAAGACAAACAGAAAAAAATAAGAAAATATGAACAAAGCCTCCAAGAAGTCTGGGATTATGTTAAACGACTAAACCTAAGAATAATCTGTGTTCCTGAGAAAGAAGAGAAATCTCAAAGTCTGGAAAACATATTTGCGGGATTAATCAGGGAAAACTTCCCCAACCTTGCCAGAGACCTAGACATCCAAATCCAAGAAGCACAAAGAACACCTGGGAAATTCATTGCAAAAAGATCATCGCCTAGGCACATTGTCATCAGGCTATTTAATGTTACGATGAAGGAAAGAATCTTGAGAGCTGTGAGACAAAAGCACCCGGTAACCTATAAGAAAAACGTATCAGATTAACAGCAGATTTCTCAGCAGAAACCCTACAAGCTAGAAGGAATTGGGGCCCTATCCTCAACCTCCTCAAATAAAACAATTATCAGCCAATAATTTCGTATCCAGTGAAACTAAGCAGCATATATGAAAGAAAGATACAGTCTTTTTCAGACAAACAAATGCTGAGAGAATTCACCACCAGCAAGCCACCACTACAAGAACTGCTAAAAGGAGTACTAAATCTTGAAACAAATCCTGGAAACACATCAAAACAGAAACTCTTTAAAGCATAAATTTCACAGGACCTATACAACAAAATTACAAGTTAAAAAGCAAAAACAAAAAACAACCAAGGTACATGGGCAACAAATAGCACAATGAGCGGAATGGTATCTCACATTGCAATACTAACATTGAATTTAAATGGCCTAAATGCTCCACTTAACAGATACAGACCTGCAGAATGGATAAGAACTCCACCAACCATCTGCCGCCTTCAAGAGACTAACCTAACACTTAAGGACTCAAAGAAACTTAAAGTAAAGGGGTGGAAAAGGTCATTTCATGCAAATAGACTCCAAAAGCAAGCATATGTAGCTATTCTTATATGAGACAAAACAAACTGTAAAGCAACAGCAGTTAAAAGAGACAGAGAGGCATTATATAATCGTAAAAGGCCTTGTCTAATAGGAAAATATCACAATGCTAAACATATGTGCACCTAATATGGGAGCTCTCAAATATCTAAAACAATCACTAATAGACCTAAGAAAAGAGATAGACAGCAACACAATAATAGTGGGGGACTTCAGTAGTCCACTGACAGCACAAGACAGTTCATAAAGACAGAAAGTCAACAAAGAAACAATGGATTTAAACTATACCTTGAAACAAATGGACTTAACAGTTATATAAAGAACATTTCATCCAACAATCACAGAATACACATTCTATTGAATAGTGCATGGAACTTCCTCCAAGATAGGCCACAAAACAAACCTCAATAAATTTAAGAAGATTGAAATTATATCAAGCACTCTGTCACACCACAGTGGAATAAAATTGGAAATCAACTTCAAAAGGAACCTTCAAAACCATGCAAATACATGGAAATTAAATAACATGCTCTTGAATGATCATTGGGTCAAAAATGAAATCAAGATGAAAATTAAAAAATTATTCAAACTGAGTGACAATAGTAACAATCTATCAAAACCTCTGGGATACAGCAAAGGTGGTGTTAAGCGGAAAGTTCATAGCCCTAAATGTCTACATCAGAAAGACTCAAAGAGCACAAACTGACATTCTAAAGTCACTTCTCAAAAAACTAAAGAAATAAGAACAAACCAAACCCAAACCCTGCAGAAGAAAGGAAATGACCAAGATCAGAGCAGAATTAAATCAAATTGAAACAAAAGAAATACAAAAATGAAATGAAAAACTGGTTCTTTGAAAAGACAAATAAATTTGATTGACCATTAGCAAGATTAGCAAAGAAAAGAAGAGAGAAAATCCAAATAACCTCAATAAAAATAAAATGAGAGAACATGCGGTGTTTGTCACGCACATGTATCCTAAAACTTAAAGTGTAATAAAAAAATAAAAATAAAATGAGAGATATTACAATTGACACTACAGAAATACAAAAGATCATTCAAGGCTGCTATGAACACCTTTACGCACATGAACTAGAAAACCTAGAGGAGATGAATAAATTCCTGGAAAAATACAACCCTTCTAGCTTAAGTTAGGAAGAATAGATACCCTGAACAGACCAGTAACAAGTAGCAAGTTTAAAATGGTGATTAAAACTTTACCAACAAAAATAAATCCAGGACCACACGGATTCACAACAGAATTCTACCAGACACTTAAAGAAGAATTGATACCAATCCTATTGACACTATTCCACAAAATAGAAAAAGAGGGAACCCTCTCTAATTCATCCTATGGAGCCAGCATTACCCTAATACCAAAACCAGGAAAGGACATAACCAAAAAAGAAAACTGCAGACCAATATCCCTGATGAACATAGATGCTAAAATTCTTAACAAAATACCAGCAAACTGAATCCAACAACATATCAAAAGATAATCCATCATGATCAGGTGGGTTTCATACTAGGGATGAAAGGATGGTTTAATGTAACACAAGTCAATAAATGTGATATACCACATAAACATAATTAAAGACAAAAGTCACATGATCATCTCGATAGATGCAGATAAAGCATTTGACAAAACCAAGCATCACTTTATGATTAAAACTCTTACCAAACTGCCAAAAGCAATCTACAAATTCAACACAATCCCCATGAAAATACTACTATCATTCTTCACAGAATTAGAGAAAACAATTCTAAAATTCATATGAAACCAAAAAAGAGGCTGTATAGCCAAAGCAAGACTCAGCCAAAAGAACAAATCTGGAGGCATCACACTACCTGATTTCAAACTATACTATAAGGCCATAGTCACCAAAACATCATGGTACTGGTATAAAAATAGGCACATAGACCAATGGAATACAATAGAGATCCCAGAAATAAACCCAAATACCTACAACCAAATGATCTTCGACAAAGCAAACAAAAACATAAAGTTGGGAAAGGGCACCCCTTTCAACAAATGGTGCTGTGATAATTGGCAAGCCACATGTAGAATAATGAAACTGGATTCTTGTCTCTCACCTTATACAAAAATCAACTCAAGATGGATTAAGGACTTAAATCTAAGACCTGAAACTATAAAAATTCTAGAAGATAACATTGGAAAAACCATTCTAGACATTGGCTTAGGGAAAGATTTCATGATCAATAACCAAAAAGTGAATGCAATAAAAACAAAGATAAATAGCTGGGACCTAATTAAACTAAAGAGGTTTTGCATGGAAAAAGGAAAAGTCAGCAGAGTAAACAAACAACCCATAGAGTGGGAGAAAATCTTCACAATCTTACATCTGACAACAGATGTAAGACAACATTCAGAGTCTGAATGACAACATTCAGAGTCTGAATGACAACATTCAGAGTCTACAATGAACTCAAACAAATCAGTAAGAACAAAACAAACAGTCTCATCAAAAGGTGAGCTAAATATATGAATAGATAATTCTCAAAAGAAGATATACAAATGGCCAACAAACAAATGAAAAGAATGCTCAACAGCACTAATTATCAGGGAAAGGCAAATGAAAACCACAATGTGATAATACCTTATTCCTGCAAGAATGGCCACAATAAAAAAATCAAAAAACAGTAGATGCTGGCATGGAAGTGGTGATCAGAGAACACTTCTACACTGCTGGTGGGAATGTAAACTAGTACAGCCACTATGGAAAACATTGTGGAGATTCCCTAAAGAACTAAAAGTAGCACTACCATTTGGTCCAGCAATCTCACTACTGGGTATCTACTCAGGGGAAAAGTGTCATTATATGAAAAATATACTTGCACACATATGTTTATAGTAGCACAATTTGCAATTGCAAAATTGTGGAACCAACCCAAATGCCCATCAATCAGCCAGTGGACAAAGAAACTGTGGTATATAAATACAATGAAATATTGCTCAGCCATAAAAAGGAATGAATTAATGGCATTCGTAGCAAACTGGATGAGATTAGAGACTATTATTCTAAGTGAAGTAACACAGCAAGGGAAAACTAAACATTGTATGTTATCACTGATATGTGCGAGCTAAGCTATGAGGACGCAAAGGCAAAAGAAAGATACAATGGATTTTAGGGGCTTCGGGGGAAGGGTGGGAGGGGTTGAGAGATAAAGGCTACAAATAGGGTGCAGTGTATACTGTTCGGGTGATGGGTGCACCAAAATCTCACAAATCGCCACTAAAGAACTTACTCATGTAACCAATAACCTATGGAAAAAAATACCCCAATAACCTATGGAAATAAAATATATCTTCCAGGGTAATCTTGAGGCGGAAGTGGTGCTGTGAAGGATTTTCCCAAGGTCACCATACCCTTAAAGGAATACTGCTAGCAGGCATAGGAGGCCAGGTGGCACAACTCCACAAGTCACCATAAAAAAAAAAAAAAGCTCAACATCACTAATTATCAGAGAATGCAAATCAAAACCACAATGAGATACCATCTTACAACAGTTAGAATGGCTATCACTAAAGAGTCAAAACGTAATAGACACTGGTGAGGCTGTAGAGAAAAGAGGATGCTTATACACTGCTGGTGGGAATGTAAATTAGTTCAGCCACTGTGGAAAGTAGTTTGGAGATTTCCCAAAAAACTTAAAACAGAACTACCATTTGAATCAGTAATTCCATTTCTAGGTGTATATCCAAAAGAAAACAAATCTACCAAAAAGATACATGCATTTGCATGTTCATAGCAGCACTATTCAGAATAGCAAAGACATGGAATCAATCTAGGTGCCCATCAATGGTGGATTGGATAAAGAAAATGTGGTATACATACACCATGGAATACTATGTAGCCATAAAAAGAACAAAATCACGTCCTTTGCAGGAATGTGAATGCGGCTGGAGGCCATTATCCTAAGTGAATTAATGCATGAACAGAAACAAATACTGCATGTTCTCATTTATGAGTGGGAGCTAAACATTGGGTACTTATGTACATAAATATGGCAACAGTTGACACTGGGAACTACTAGAGTAGGGAGGGTGGGAGGGGAGCAAGGGTTGCGAAACTAATTGTTGAGTACTATGCTCAGTACCACGATGATGGGATTATTCATATCGCAAACCTCAGCCTCATACAATGTATCAAGGTAACAAAGTTGCACACATACCCTCTAATCTAAAATAAATTGAAAAAGAAAAAAAATTCTCTGTAATACATCTCTTGGCACAGCCATATAAATCAATAAAAATTTCTTCTTATAGGAAGAGAGACAATTAGTAAATTATGCTTGAAGCAAGGTGGACTAAATAGTCTTATACTTTTTAAAGTTTATATCACAAGGAAATGAGTAATAGCCAATTACTCTTCAATTAAAATCCTTTAAAATTAGGAATATTATTTTCTCTTTTTCATATACATGGCTAAAAGAGATGTTAGCCAATACTTTGTTACTATGTGTTGATAAGGCAAAAGGAAATTGGAATTTGCTTACATCATCAGTTCAAGATTTCTACCCCAGGCAGCGTTCCCTCTCATTGCTAGAGTTCCTAGTTATTAAGAAGCAAAGCCATTCATGTGGCCAAAAACTCCCTCTTTAGGCAGAGAGCTGAAAATACTGCAAAGAATATTTGTATATTTTAGATATTGAAATGGAACAGAGAATAATAGACATAATTCTAGACTAATGTTTGTGTCTGTGTCTTAGTTTTTAAGAAGAAAGTTCAAAAAGTAAAAAAAAAATTAAAAATAGGAAAAAAGCTTATAGAATGGAGATATAAAAAAAGAAAATATTTTTGTACAGCTATAAAGTGTGTTTGTGTTTTAAGCTCTGTTATTACAAAAGAATCAAAAATTTTTAAAAAGTTTCCAAAGTATCCTCTCTTATTTCCGTGAGCAGTGGTTTGTAGTTCTCCTCGAAGAGGTCCTTCACATCCCTTGTAAGTTTTATTCTTAAGTATGTTATTCTCTTTGTAGCAACTGCGAATGGGAGTTGACTCATGATTTTGATCTCTGTCTGTTATTGGTGTATAGGAATGATTGTGATTTTTGCACATTGATTTTGTATCCTGAGAATTTGCTGAAGCTGTTTATCAGTTTAAGGAGATTTGGGGCTGAGATGATGGGATTTTCTGAATATACAATCATGTCATCTGCAAACAGAGACAATTTGACTTCCTCTCTTCCTATATGAATACCCTTTATTTATTTCTGTTGCCTGATTGCCCTGGCCAGAATTTCCAATACTATGTTGAATAGGAGTGGTGAGAGAGGGCATCCTTGTCTTGTGCCAGTTTTCAAAGGGAATGCTTCCAGCTTTTGCCCATTCAGTATGATATTGGCTGTGGGTTTGTCATAAATAGTTCTTATTATTTTGAGATACGTTCTGTCAATACCAAATTTATTGAGAGTTTTTAGCATGCAGTGGTGTTGAATTTTATCGAAGGCCTTTTCTGCATCTATTGAGATAATCACGTGGTTTTTGTCATTGGTTTTGTTTATGTGATGGATTAGGTTTATTGATTTGCGTATGTTGAACCAGCCTTACATCCCAGGGATGGAGCTGACTTGATCATGTTGGATAAGCTTTTTGATGTGCTGCTGGATTAACGTTCCATACTCACAGATAGGAAGAATCAATATTGTGAAAATGGCCATACTTCCCAAAGTGATTTATAGATTCAATGCTATCCATCAAGCTACCATTGACTTTCGTCACAGAATTAGAAAAAGCTACTTTAAATTTCATATGGAACCAAAAAAGAGCCCATATAGCCAAGATAATTCTAAGCAAAAAGAACAAAGTTGGATGCATCACGCTACCTGACTTCAAACTATACTACAAGCCTACAGTAATCAAAACAGCATGGTACTGGTACCAAAACAGATATGTAGACCAATGGAACAAAACAGAGTCCTCAGAAATAATGCCACACATCTACAACCATCTGATCTTTGACAAACTTAACAAAAAGAAGCAATAGGGAAAAGATTTCCTATTTAATAAATGGTGTTGGGAAAACTGGCTAGCCATATGCAGAAAACTGAAACTGGAACCCTTCCTTACACCTCATACAAAAATTAACTCAAGATAGATTAAAGACTTAAATGGAAAGTGTAAAACTATAAAATCCCCAGAAGAAAATCTAGGCAATACCGTTCAGGACGTAGGCATGGGCAAAGACTTCGTGACTAAAATACCAAAAGCAATAGTAACAAAAGCCAAAATTGACAAATGAGATCGAATTACACTAAAGAGCTTCTGCACAGCAAAAGAAACTATCATCAGAGTGAACAGGCAACCTACAGAATGGAATAAAATTTTTGCAATCTACCCATCTGACAAAGGGCTAATATCCAGAATCTACAAGGAACTTAAGCAAATTTACAAGAAAAAAAACCATCAAAGAGTGGCAAAGGATATAAACAGACAGTTCTCAAAAGAAGAAATGTATGTGGCCAACAAACGTATGAAAAAAAGCTCATCACTGGGCGTGGTGGCTCACGCCTGTAACCCCAGCACTTTGGGAGGCCGAGGTGGGCGGATCACAAGGTCAGGAGATTGAGACCATCCTGGCTAACACAGTGAAACCCCATCTCTACTAAAAAATACAAAAATTAGCCAGGTGTGGCAGCGTGCGCCTGTAGTCCCAGCTGCTGGGGAGGCTGAGGCAGGAAAATGGTGTGAACTTGGGAGGCGGAGCTTGCAGTGAGCCAAGATCATGCCACTGCACTCCAGCCTGGGCGACAGAGTGAGACTCCATCTCAAAAAAAAAAAAGCTCATCATCACTGGTCATTAGAGAAATGCAAATCAAAACCACAGTGAGATACCATCTCTTGCCAGTTAGAATGGTGATCATTAAAAAGTCAGGAAACAACAGATGCTGGAGAGGATGTGGAGAAATACGAAAGTTTTTACACTGTTGGTGGGAGTGTAAATTAGTTCAACCATTGTGGAAAACAGTGTGGCAATTCCTCAAGGATCTAGAACCAGAAATACCATTTGACCCAATAATTGCATTACTGGGTATATACCCAAAGGATTATGAATCATTCTACTATAAACACATGCACAGGTATGTTTATTGCAGCACTATTCACAATAGCAAAGAGTTGGAACCAACCCAAATGCCCATCAATGATAGACTGTATAAAGAAAATGTGGCACATATACACCATGGAATACTATGCAGCCATGAAAAAGAATGAGTTCATGTGCTTTGCAGGGACATGGATGAAGCTGGAAACCATCATTCTCAGCAAACTAACACAGGAACAGAAAACTGAACATCTCATGTTCTCACTCATAAGTAGGAGTTGAACAATGAGAACACGTAGACACGGGGAGGGGAACATCAAAAACTGGGCCCTGTCGCAGGGTGTGGGGCTAGGGGATAGCATTAGGAGAAATACCTAATGTAAATGATGGGTTAATGGGTGCAGCAAACCACCATGGCATGTGTATGCCTGTGTAACAAACCTGCGTGTTCTGCACATGTATCTCAGAACTTTAAATATAATTTTAAAAAGTTTATAAAGCAAAAATATTACAGAAAGCTAAGAGAAAAGTATTGGTAAAGAATTACTTTTAAAATAAATTGAATATAGCCTAAGTGAACCAAGTGTACACTGTTATGAAATCCACAGTAGCACCCAGTAATGTCCTAGGCCTTCGTATTCACTCACTACTCACATACTGATTTATCCAGACCAACTTCCAGTCCTGCAAGCTCCATCTATGGTAAGTACTATATACAGGTATACTATTTTTAATCTTTCATACCATATTTTTCCTGTGTCTTTTCTACGTTTAGATATGTTTAGATACCTAAACACTTACCATTGCATTATAATGCCTACAGTGTTCAGTACGGTAACACACTGTGCAGGTTTGTAGCCTAGGAACAATAGGCTATACCATATAGCCTAGGAGTGTAGCAGGGTATATCATCTAGGTTTGTGTAAGAACACTCCATGATGTTTGCACATGGTTGAAATCACCTAAGGATGTGTTTCTCAGAACACATCCCTGTAGTTAAGTAATGCATGACTGTATATGCATATTTGTTTGTTCTAACTTCAGTGGAAAGAAGTACAGATACTTCTTATCTGTGATCCCAAGACATTTATCAACTTGGCCAAAACAGAGACAAGTATCCCTTTTTAATATCTTATTAAAATAACTTAATCTAACTGGGTTTTCTGCCAGGTTTTGATTGAATTAGTTTTAACTTACCCTGCAACTTGCTTAAAAATCCCAACTTCTTTCAGGACATGTGGTGTGTGTTGGGGGGAAAGGAGGAAGCATGTTTAGTAAGTTTTATTATAAACATTCAATCATACAAGCAATATATGAAAATATTTTCTTCATGAAATATAAAGTTATATTTGAAAAGTATAGTGGTTGCCTCTGTTGTATATTCCTCCAAACATTTTCTATGCATTTGTATGCAAAAGTATAGTTTCTTGGGCAATATATACATATAAACATATATGTATATATATAATATAGTTACATTTATGTTTGCATGTGTGTGTTTTAGAGTGGGTTTATTCCTGTTTTCTTTATAAATGCTAGTAATTGGTGTATCCCACTTTTTAAATTGCTTTTCTTCTCCCTGCTGCATTGTATTTGATAATCTGGAAGTAAATTAGTTATAATTTTGGAAACTTCCAATTATTCAGTATTAAATATTATTTTAGTATTGCAAAATTATTCTTATATATGTCTCTTTGTAAATATGCGCAAGTGCTTTTTCCAGTCTGTAGATACCTAGAAAAAGAATTCCTAGGCTTTCAGATCAGTGCATTTAAAAATTTCAATGGGTATTGCCAATATTTTCTTTGTGTATTGTACCACTTGGTCCCATCTCCAGCAGTGTGTAAGAATCCCTTTCCTCCTGCAAACTGCCAATACTTTTTATTATGAATTTTTAAATTTTTTTACCAATATGAGTAAAAGAATGCATCTCTTTGCTGTTTTAAGTTTCAGGACATTTATTCATTGTCAGCTTTGTTGCTTTAGAAATCCAAGTCAGGTTAGGTATTTTATCGGTCTACATTATGGGATGTGTAAAAGCAAAGATATGACAGGGTATTGGATTTCAAGACAAGGTACAAGAGTAAAGAGAAAATATGAGAATAATCTAGAACTAGGTTATTCTAGAACTCAAGTCTAGCAACAGGCCATACCCTATCTACATGCAGACTGTGAAACCCTAGCAAAAAGCCTCTTGTTAAAACCGTGATGGGTAGGGAAATAACACCACCATAAAAGAACCATCTCTAATATGTCTTATGTAAAAGTTGACAAGTAAATGCACCTATACAAGGAATGGGAGAACAGACTAGACTTTGATTTCTCCTTTGAATAGAGATCCTTAATTTCCAATTCAGAACATGTTGTGCAGAGGTCATATTTTCCCACCGAAGTTTGCTGTGCATACTTTTTGCTTACTTTCTCTAAAATATTATATCTGTGACTCATGTCTCTTTATCAATTCTATAAAACTCTATAGTTTTCTGTTTCTATATGCTGGCTTCCCTGAAAAGTAGATTTTTATCTTTTTAAGTTTCTCTCCCCAAATTATATCACTAGAAATAAATTTATCAAAGTCATCAAATACTGTTTATCTTGATCCAAGTAATCCACAGAAAAGTTACAATTAACCAAATTCAAAGCCACCACAAGTGACTAGGTGGACCACTACAAACTACAAAAGCCAAATCAAATGAATGCCCATCTTTGCCAGCCACTGGTGCAACAGCTATTAGTACAAGGCAAGGTTAAGCAATTGATACACATCATTACCATTAGTCAGATATAGTCTTTGACACCACATCCAACCTTTCGTACTTGTGCTAATAGGCTTGCATGTGGTAGAGTGAGTGGGAGGAAGAGCAAACACTTGTAAAAACAAAATAAACCCACATCTACCCTAAGACAGCCAAAAAGATGACTTATCTCTAAGGAGGTTATGTTGCCAAACTCTAAAGTTTGTCAGTCTAAGTCTAAAATCATAGGGTTGGGTCACAGAGAAGACAATTACAAAACTCTGGGCTTTTCAAGCTACTTGAGGAGCTCCTTGTATCTATAAAGCCTAAGGACTTAGTTATTGAACCCTATGAGAGTCTTATATGGGAGTTTTTCCTGGCAATTCAAGCCATTTGTTAGCATTAGTACTCTGTCAACAAATAATTATGAAGTTTTCTTCCTTGACTAACCTACAAAAATAATGATTGGAAGCCAATGGGAGTAAAAAGATAGATAGCATCTCTACCCACATTTGAAAATTCAGAAATGCTTTATTCCCTGTGAGTCACCCTTAGGTAGCAAGTTACAGTGAAGTTTCAGAGTATTTACTAAGTGTGAAAACCTCCAAGGTTCTGGCAGTATGTTGACTGACATTCTTGGTTTTTAGTGCTTGAGTTTTCCTTTTTGAAAAAAAAATTTATCTGGGAGGTACTTCAATAGAAATATTAAAAGAGGCTGTTTTATAGATATCCTCCTTAATCAGCAAGGCATATTGAAAATAAATACCCTCAGCTGATCCCTTTAACCACAGAAGCAAAAAGAATTAAAACTGTATTTGCTTGAGGAGAGAGACCAGGGAAACAAAACTAAAATGACATTCAGAGATGGGAGAAGAGAGAAAATAG
This sequence comes from Homo sapiens, assembly GCF_000001405.40. Lineage (NCBI taxonomy): Eukaryota > Metazoa > Chordata > Mammalia > Primates > Hominidae > Homo > Homo sapiens. The sequence goes on along the minus strand of NC_000005.10, from coordinate 110,784,758 downwards.
CTGCATGATTTTTCATCTAGGACAAGTACTGTCTCATGAGATATATACACAAATCAAATTTTACTGTAACTATGCCATGAAGAAATGGCTGTAATTGGAAAGAGAAAATCCAAAAAGAAACAAAAGAGAGAAGAGAGAGTTTATAATATTTAGAAGTGATAGCATTAACAGGAAAGAAGTTGTAATAAAATAATAAGAAAATAGATTAATGAACAAAGAGAATTCAATTTGTCAAACATTTATCAGGCACCTCTTAAAGCAAAGAAATGGACAAAATGCTGAGTTCTAAAATTAATAAGATCAATTTTCTTATAACAGTTGCCTTTTATTGAGAACCTACTATATATCACAACCTTACACACATTTTATTACATTTTTCAACATTTTTGTTAGGTTGGTATATTACTATTTTTGTTAGGTTAGGTATATTACTATTTTTATTTTATTAAAAAGAAAACTGCAAGGCTACAGTAACCAAAACAGCATGGTACTGGTACCAAAACAGAGATACAGACCAATGGAACAGAACAGAGCCCTCAGAAATAATGTCGCATATCTACAACTATCTGATCTTTGACAAACCTGACAAAAGCAAGCAATGGGGAAAGGATTCCCTATTTAATAAATGGTGCTGGGAAAACTGGCTAGCCATGTGTAGAAAGCTGAAACTAGATCCCTTCCTTACACCTTATACAAAAATTAATTCAAGATGGATTAAATACTTAAATGTTAGACCTAAAACCATAGAAACCGTAGAAGAAAACCTAGGCAATATTCAGGACATAGGCATGGACAAGGACTTCATGTCTAAACACCAAAAGCAATGGCAACAAAAGACAAAATTGACAAATGGGATCTAATGAAACTAAAGAGCTTCTGCACAGCAAAAGAAACTACCATCAGAGTGAACAGGCAACCTACAAAATGGGAGAAAATTTTCGCAACCTACTCATCTGACAAAGGGCTAATATCCAGAATCTACAATGAACTCAAACAAATTTACAAGAAAAAAACAAACAACCCCATCAAAAAGTGGGCAAAGGATATGAACAGACACTTCTCAAAAGAAGACATTTATGCAGCCAAAAGACACATGAAAAAATGCTCATCATCACTGGCCATCAGAGAAATGCAAATCAAAACCACAATGAGATACCATCTCACACCAGTTAGAATGGCAATCATTCAAAAGTCAGGAAACAACAGGTGCTGGAGTGGATGTGGAGAAATAGGAACACTTTTACACTGTTGGTGGGACTGTAAACTAGTTCAACCATTGTGGAAGTCAGTGTGGCAATTCCTCAGGGATCTAGAACTAGAAATACCATTTGACCCAGCCATCCCATTACTGGGTATATACTCAAAGGATTATAAATCATGCTGCTATAAAGACACATGCATATGTATGTTTATTGTGGCACTATTCACAATAGCAAAGACTTGGAACCAACCCAAATGTCCAACAATGATAGACTGGATTAAGAAAATGTGGCACATATACACCATGGAATACTATGCAGCCATAAAAAATGATGAGTTCATGTCCTTTGTAGGGACATGGATGAAACTGGAAACTATCATTCTCAGCAAACTATCGCAAGGACAAAAAACCAAACACCACATGTTCTAGCTCATAGGTGGGAACTGAACAATGAGAACACATGGACACAGGAAGGGGAACATCACAATCTTGGGACTGTTGTGGATTGGGGGGAGGGGGGAGGGATAGCATTAGGAGATATACCTAATGCTAAATGACGAGTTAGTGGGTGCAGCACACCAACATGGCACATGTATACATATGTAACAAACCTGCACATTGTGCACATGTACCCTAAAACTTAAAGTATAATAATAATAAAATAAAATAGAAAAATAAAAAAAAAGAAAACTGAAGATCAGTATTTAAATGACTGTCCCAAGAACAAACCAGTCATGAAGAGTACAGGTGGCATTCACAACCAGATTTATTTAATTCCAAAATTCATTTTCTTCTTATTACAAACTTCTCGAAGTCAGGCACCAGGCAATTTACAAATAATACAAGAAGTGATCATGAGGATAGCTGAGAAGGAACTAAGAAAAATGAGAATGGGAAAGTGTTATAATTTGGATGGTTGGTGCATTCAAAATCTCTTCTTGAATTTTGATCCCCATTGTTGGAGGTGAGGCCTAATGGGGAGGTGTTTGGGTCATAGGGCAGATCGTTCATGAATAGATTAATGCCCTGCCTTTTTGTGGTGGGGGAGGTGAGTGAGTTATCATTCTATTAGTTAAAAAGAGCTGGGCACCTCCCCCACCCCCTCTTGCTTCCTCTCTCACCATGCAATCACTGCACACGTGATTCCCTTCACCTTTCTCCATGTGTGGAAGCAACCTGAGGCCCTCACCATGCTTCTTGTACAGCCTTCAGCATCATGAGCCAAATAAGCTTCTTTCTTTATAAATTACCCGGCCTCAGGTATTCCTTTACAGCAACACAAACAGACTAAGGCAGCATGGGAACTCCAGTGTAGTAGTCCAAGTTCTCTAAGGGAGCAGAACCAATAGGATATATGAACATACAAAGGAAGTTTCATAGAGAGAATTGGCTCACCCAATTACACAGCAAAGTCCCAAGACAGGCCAACTGCAAGCTGGGGAAAGACAGAGGTAGTAGGGGCTCAGACCAAGTCAAAAAGCTTCAAAACCAGGGAAGATGACAGTAAAACTTCAGTCTGCAGCTGAAGATCTGAGAAGGAGGCCACTGGTACAAGTTCTAGAGTCCAAAGGCCAAAGAACCTGGAGCCTGATGTCCAAGGGCAGAAAGAGAGGAAGCAAGTGTCCAACAAGGGAAGAAAGAGAAGTGGAAGATTCAGCAAGCAAGTTTATCCCCGCTTCTTCCATCTGCACTGTTCTAGCTGTGCTGGCAGGCAATTAGATGGTACCCACCTACATTGAGAGTGGGTTTTCCTCTCCTAGTTCACTGACTCAGATGTCAATCCCCTCTGGTTATACACTCACAGTTATATCGAGAAAGAATACTTTACCAGCCATCTAGGCATCTCTCAGCCCAATCAAGTTGATATGTAGTACTAACCATCACAACCCATGTTCAGGTATATGGCATTTCAGTCCTTTCCTAGTCTTATTGAGACACAAACAGGAATTGATGGTTATAATGATAATCCCAAACTATAAAAAAGCTGTTTTGATTTATATTCTCTAATATCTAAGGAATGTAAAATACATTTTAGAATGTCTTATATAATTTCTTCAATTTCCTTCCATCGCACCTCAGACATATTTAGGTTTGTGCCCTTTCTTATTCTTTTCTACAGTATCAAAGGAAAGAGTTTCTTCCTAATTTCTTCTCTCATTAAATATTTGAGTCCATGACAGGAAATATGCTGAAATTTAGAGAGAAAATAAGAAGAGAGACAGGATCCCTGCCCTGTCCCTATGGACTCACATTTTGTAAGAGGGCATAGTGAACAAAGAAATACATAATATTTTATCAGTTGGGATTTCTGCTAAGAAAAAAAGAAACGAAGATCTGTGATAGAGAATGTGATGGAGAGCAAATTTAGTTCAGGAAATTATTTTGTTTAGGATTAATTCTCCTAGCATCAATTTCTGTGTTAGTGTTTCTAGTTGCAAACAAAATCTCTCTAAATAGTTTAAGAAGAAAAATAATACATTACATTAATTATGTACTTTGCAGAATATCTTAGTGAGCCAAGGAGCCAATGTTTGTGGGCCTGCAGGAGAAATAACACACAAGCCACGTCATACCATGATTTTGGCAATGATCCTAATATGCGACCAATGGAAACAGACACCATAGTTCATAAAAATGATTTTGCCCCATCATTACTAATCTCAGAAATAAAAACATATTGGTCTGATGGGCTTCCCTTTATGGGTAACCTGACTTTTCTCTGGCTGCCCTTAACATTTTTTCCTTCATTTCAACCTTGGTGAATCTGATGATTATGTGTCTTGGTGTTGCTCTTCTTGAGGAGTATCTTTGTGGTGTTCTCTGTATTTCCTGAATTTGAATGTTAGCCTCTCCTGCAGAAACCTTACAAGCCAGAAGGGAATGGGGGCCAATATTCAACATTCTTAAAGAAAAGAATTTTCAACCCAGAATTTCATATCCAGCCAAACTACGCTTCATAAGCGAAGGAGAAATAAAATCCATTACAGACAAGCAAATGCTGAGAGATATTGGCACCACCAGGCTTGCCTTACAAGGGCTCCTTAAGGAAGCACTAAACATGGAAAGGAATAACCAGTATCAGCCACTGCAAAAACATACCAAATTGTAAAGAACATATACACTATATAGAAACTGCATCAACTAATGGGCAAAACAACCAGCTAGCATCATAATGACAGGATCAAATTCACACATAACAATATTAACCTTAAGTGTAAATGAACTAAATGCCCCAACTAAAAGACACAGACTGGCAAATTAGATAAAGAGTCAAGATCCATCAGTGTGCTGTATTCAGGAAACACATCTCACATGCAAAGACACACATAGGCTCAAAATAAAGGGATGGAAGAATATTTATCAAGCAAATGGAAAGCAAAAAGAGCAGGAGTTGCAATCCTAATCTCTGATAAAACAGACTTTAAACCAACAAAGATCAAAAAAGATAAAGAAGGGGATTACATAATGGTAAAGGGATCAATGCAGCAAGAAGAGCTAACTCTTCTAAATATATATGCACCCACTACAGGAGAACCCAGATTCATAAAGCAAGTTCTTAGAGACCTACAAAGAGACTTAGACTCCCACACAATAATAGTGGGAGATTTTAACACCTCACTTTTAATGTTAGACTGATCAACGAGACAGAAAATTAACTAGAATATTCAGGACTTGAACTCAGCTCTGGACCAGGTGGACTTAATAGACGTCTACAGAACTCTCCACCCCAAATCAAGAGAATATACATTCTTCTCAGCACCTCATCACACTTACTCTAAATTGACCATATATTTGGAAGTAAAACATTCCTCAGCAAATGCAAAAGAACAGAAATCATAGCAATGGGGAAAGGATTCCCTATTTAATAACTGGTGTTGGGAAAACTGGCTAGCCATAAGCAGAAAACTGAAACTGGATCCCTTCCTTACACCTTCTACAAAAGCCAACTCAAGTTGGATCAAATACTTAAACATAAGACCTAGGACCATAAAAATCCTAGAAGAAAACCTGGGCAATACTATTCAGGACATAGGTGTGGGCAAAGGCTTCATGACTGAAACACCAAAAGCAATTACATCAAAAGCCAAAATTGACAAATGGGATCGTATTAAACTAAAGAGCTTCTGCACAGCAAAAGAAATTATCATCAGAGTGAACAGGCAACCTATAGAAGGGGAGAAAATTTTTGCAATCTATCCACATGACAAAGGGCTAATATCCAGAATCTACAAAGAACCTAAACAAATTAACAAGAAAAAAACAACCCCATCAAAAAGTGAGCAAAGGATATGAAAGGACACATCTCAAAAGAAGACATTTATGCAGCCAACAGACATATGAAAAAATGCTCATCATCACTGGTCATTAGAGTAATGCAAATCAAAACCACACTGAGATACAATCTCATGCCAGTTAGAATGGTGATCATTAAAAAGTCAGGAAACAACAGATGCTGGAGAGGACGTAGAGAAATAGGAACGCTTTTACACTGTTCCTGGGAGTGTAAATTAGTTAAACCATTGTGGAAGACAGTTTGGTGATTACTCAAGGAACTAGAAGTAGAAATACCATCTGACCCAGCAATCCCATTACTAGGCATGTACCTATGAGATTATAAATAATTCTGCTATAAAGACACATGCACACGTGTGTTTATTGCAGCACTATTCACAATAGCAAAGAGTTGGAACCAACCCAAATGTCCATCAGTAACAGACTGGATAAAGAAAATGTGGCACATATACACCATGGAATAGTAGGCAGCCATAAAAAAGGATGAGTTCATGTCCTTTTCAGGGACAATATTTTTTTTTAATTAAACCAACAAATTTCTTTTTTTTTATTATACTTTAAGTTTTAGGGTACATGTGCACATTGTGCAGGTTAGTTACATATGTATACATGTGCCATGCTGGTGCGCTGCATCCACTAACTCGTCATCTAGCATTAGGTATATCTCCCAATGCTATCCTTCCCCCCTCCCCCCATCCCACAACAGTCCCCAGAGTGTGATATTCCCCTTCCTGTGTCCATGTGATCTCATTGTTCAATTCCCACCTATGAGTGAGAATATGCAGTGTTTGGCTTTTTGTTCTTGTGATAGTTTACTGAGAATGATGATTTCCAGTTTCATCCATGTCCCTACAAAGGACATGAACTCATCATTTTTTATGGCTGCATAGTATTCCATGGTGTATATGTGCCACATTTTCTTAATCCAGTCTATCATTGTTGGACATTTTGGTTGGTTCCAAGTCTTTGCTATTGTGAATAATGCCACAATAAACATACGTGTGCATGTGTCTTTATAGCAGCATGATTTATAGTCCTTTGGGTATATACCCAGTAATGGGATGGCTAGGTCAAATGGTATTTCTAGTTCTAGATCCCTGAGGAATCGCCACACTGACTTCCACAATGGTTGAACTAGTTTACAGTCCCACCAACACTGTAAAAGTCTTCCTATTTCTCCACATCCTCTCCAGCACCTGTTGTTTCCTGACTTTTCAATGATCACCATTCTAACTGGTGTGAGATGATATCTCATTGTGGTTTTGATTTGCATTTCTCTGATGGCCAGTGATGATGAGCATTTTTTCATGTGTTTTTTGGCTGCATAAATGTCTTCTTTTGAGAAGTGTCTGTTCATGTCCATCGCCCACTTTTTGATGGGGTTGTTTGTTTTTTTCTTGTAAATTTGTTGGAGTTCATTGTAGATTCTGGATATTAGCCCTTTGTCAGATGAGTAGGTTGTGAAAATTTTCTCCCATTTTGTAGGTTGCCTGTTCACTCTGATGGTAGTTTCTTTTGCTGTGCAGAAGCTCTTTAGTTTAATTAGATCCCATTTGTCAGTTTTGTCTTTTGTTGCCATTGCTTTTGGTGTTTTAGACATGAAGTCCTTGCCCATGCCTAAGTCCTGAATGGTAATGCCTAGGTTTTCTTCTAGGGTTTTTATGGTTTTAGGTCTAATGTTTAAGTCTTTATTCCATCTTGAATTAATTTTTGTATAAGGTGTAAGGAATGGATCCAGTTTCAGCTTTCTACATATGGCTAGCCAGTTTTCCCAGCACCATTTATTAAATAGGGAATCCTTTCCCCATTGCTTGTTTTTCTCAGGTTTGTCAAAGATCAGATAGTTGTAGATATGCGGCATTATTTCTGAGGGCTCTGTTCTGTTCCATTGATCTATATCTCTGTTTTGGTACCAGTACCATGCTGTTTTGGTTACTGTAACCTTGTAGTATAGTTTGAAGTCAGGTAGTGTGATGCCTCCAGCTTTGTTCTTTTGGCTTAGGATTGACTTGGTGATGTGGGCTCTTTTTTGGTTCCATATGAACTTTAAAGTAGTTTTTTCCAATTCTGTGAAGAAAGGCATTGGTAGCTTGATGGGGATGGCATTGAGTCTATAAATTACCTTGGGCAGTATGGCCATTTTCACGATATTGATTCTTCCTACCCATGAGCATGGAATGTTCTTCCATTTGTTTGTATCCTCTTTTATTTCCTTGAGCAGTGGTTTGTTGTTCTCCTTGAAGAGGTCCTTCACATCCCTTGTAAGTTGGATTCCTGGGTATTTTATTCTGTTTGAAGCAATTGTGAATGGAAGTTCACTCATGATTTGGCTCTCTGTTTGTCTGTTGTTGGTGTATAAGAATGCTTGTGATTTTTGTACATTGATTTTGTATCCTGAGACTTTGCTGAAGTTGCTTATCAACTTAAGGAGATTTTGGGCTGAGACAATGGGGTTTTCTAGATATACAATCATGTTGTCTGCAAACAGGGACAATTTGATTTCCTCTTTTCCTAATTGAATACCCTTTATTTCCTTCTCCTGCCTAATTGCCCTGGCCAGAACTTCCAACACTATGTTGAATAGGAGTGGTGAGAGAGGGCATCCCTGTCTTGTGCCAGTTTTCAAAGGGAATGCTTCCAGTTTTTGCCCATTCAGTATGATATTGGCTGTGGGTTTGTCATAGATAGCTCTTATTATTTTGAGATATGTCCCATCAATACCTAATTTATTGAGAGTTTTTAGCATGAAGGTTTGTTGAATTTTGTCAAAGGCTTTTTCTGCATCTATTGAGATAATCATGTGGTTTTTGTCTTTGGCTCTGTTTATATGCTGGATTACATTTATTGATTTGCATATATTGAACCAGCCTTGCATCCCAGGGATGAAGCCCACTTGATCATGGTGGATAAGCTTTTTGATGTGCTGCTGGATTCGTTTTGCCAGTATTTTATTGAGGATTTTTGCATCAATGTTCATCAAGGATATTGGTCTAAAATCCTCTTTTTTTGTTGTGTCTCTGCCTGGCTTTGGTATCAGAATGATGCTGGCCTCATAAAATGAGTTAGGGAGGATTCCCTCTTTTTCTGTTGATTGGAATAGTTTCAGAAGGAATGGTACCAGTTCCTCCTTTTACCTCTGGTAGAATTCGGCTGTGAATCCATCTGGTCCTGGACTCTTTTTGGTTGGTAAGCTATTGATTATTGCCACAATTTCAAATCCTGTTATTGGTCTATTCAGAGATTCAACTTCTTCCTGGTTTAGTCTTGGGAGAGTGTATGTGTCGAGGAATTTATCCATTTCTTCTAGATTTTCCAGTTTATTTGCGTAGAGGTGTTTGTAGTATTCTCTGATGGTAGTTTGTATTTCTGTGGGATTCGGTGGTGATATCCCCTTTATCATTTTTTATTGTGTCTATTTGATTCTTCTCTCTTTTTTTCTTTATTAGTCTTGCTTGTGGTCTATCAATTTTGTTGATCCTTTCAAAAAACCAGCTCCTGGATTCATTAATTTTTTGAAGGGTTTTTTGTGTCTCTATTTCCTTCAGTTCTGCTCTGATTTTAGTTGTTTCTTGCCTTCTGCTAGCTTTTGGATATGTTTGCTCTTGCTTTTCCAGTTCTTTTAATTGTGATGTTAGGGTGTCAATTTTGGATCTTTCCTGCTTTCTCTTGTGGGCATTTAGTGTTATAAATTTCCCTCTACACACTGCTTTGAATGTGTCCCAGAGATTCTGGTATGTTGTGTCTTTGTTCTCATTGGTTTCAAAGAGCATCTTTATTTCTGCCTTCATTTCGTTATGTACCCAGTAGTCATTCAGGAGCAGGTTGTTCAGTCTCCATGTAGTTGAGCGGTTTTGGGTGAGATTCTTAATCCTGAGTTCTAGTTTGATTGCACTGTGGTCTGAGAGATAGTTTGTTACAATTTCTGTTCTTTTACATTTGCTGAGGAGAGCTTTACTTCCAAGTATGTGGTCAATTTTGGAATAGGTGTGGTGTGGTGCTGAAAAAAATGTATATTCTGTTGATTTGGGGTGGAGAGTTCTGTAGATGTCTATTAGGTCCACTTGGTGCAGAGCTGAGTTCAATTCCTGGGTATCCTTGTTGACTCTCTGTCTCATTGATCTGTCTAATGTTGACAGTGGGGTGTTAAAGTCTCCCATTATTAATGTGTGAGAGTCTAAGTCTCTTTGTAGGTCACTCAGGACTTGCTTTATGAATCTTGGTGCTCCTGTATTGGGTGCATATATATTTACGATAGTTAGCTCTTCTTGTTGAATTGATCCCTTTACCATTATGTAATGGCCTTCTTTGTCTCTTTTGATCTTTGTTGGTTTAAAGTCTGTTTTATCAGAGACTAGGATTGCAACCCCTGCCTTTTTTTGTTTTCCATTTGCTTGGTAGATCTTCCTCCATCCTTTTATTTTGAGCCTCTATGTGTCTCTGCACGTGAGATGGGTTTCCTGAATACAGTACACTGAAGGGTCTTGACTCTTTATCCAATTTGCCAGTCTGTGTCTTTTAATTGGAGCATTTAGTCCATTTACATTTAAAGTTAATATTGTTATGTGTGAATTTGATCCTGTCATTATGATGTTAGCTGGTTATTTTGCTCGTTAGTTGATGCAGTTTCTTCCTAATCTCGATGGTGTTTACATTCTAGTTTGCCTTAATATTATATGTATGTAGAAATTTCAGTGGATCATGTGGAATGCACTCTTTTGAATTATAGCCTGACTTGTATTGTGTTAATGGACTGGATTGTGTTCCCCCTAAAATTCATATATTGAAGCTCTAGCCCCAGTGCCTTAGAATGTGTCTGTCCTTGGTGATAGGACCTCTAAAGAGGAAATTAAGTTAAAAGAAGGCCATTGGGATGGGCCCTAGTGCAATCTGAGTGATATCCTTGTCAGAGGAGATTGGGACAGACAGAGACACCAGCGAAGTGCATGCACAGACAGAAGGCCATATAAGGAGGCAGCAAGAAGGCAGCTATCCCTTCTGCAAGCCAAAAGAGAGAGGTTTCAAAAGAAACCAACCCTGCTGACACCTTGATCTCAGACTTCTAGCCTCCAGAACTGAGAGGAAATACATTTCTACTGTTTAAGACAGTCAGTCTATAATGCATTATTATGGTAGCCCAACAACACCCTAATGCATATTATTATTCATATAGATAAAGGTAGCTATAGAGACATAAAGATCGATAGAGAGATTGATACAAACACATATGTAGTGAGAAGATAAGCTCCATGAAGACAGGGGTTTTGTCTGTTTCGTTTAGTGATATCTGTTAGTCATCTGGAACAGTTATTGACACAGGGTTGGTGCTCGATAAATATTTCTCATTGAATTGGTTAATTCTGTTGGACTTCGTTATATAACCCTTTAGAGATTTTTCTTAAGACACATCATTATCTTCAGAAGCTGGGTTCAGATAAAGTGGACAGATGAATTGATGATCTCCTTCCTCTTGATCACTGATGAGATCTAGTCTGGTTACCTTTCAATTTCTTAATTTCCAGACAGGTTATTGAGATGCAGTGGAAATATTAAGGTGTTCCCATCTGCATATCTCTAAAGGAGGCATGGGGGGGCATCAGCTTATTACCTGAAGGTACCCAAAGCAGGCCTAATAGCTCTGGAGGGATGGAACAAATATGGATTGAGCCTTTGCGTAATAGCTAACATATTATATCTCAAATCATTTCAATAACAAATATTTTCTCTTTCCCTAAATGTCTGTTTATTTACTTTCTTTTCCTTTCATAACTGAGACATTTGTACTTTTATATAACAGAAATCACACCATATGGAGAACATTCTCATTTTTTTATAGCTGTATAGAACTCATATGGACATACTATGGTATATTCAATCATACTTCTTTGTAAAAGCACTTTTGTGGTTTTCAATATTTTACAATCACAAACAAAACTCAAATAAATAATCATGGAAATACATATTTTAATCTTGTTCAAGGTGTATCTTTAAGATAAATTACAACATAAGAGATTGCTTGGTCAATAGTAATTGTGTATTTATTTTTTTGTTAGACGTTGCTAAATTCTCCCCCAAAAGAGTTTTGTTAGTTGTATTTCTACCAGTAACGCATGAGACTGTCTATTTCTCCATTACCTAGCCAAAAGATGTTGTCACACTTTTACATTTTATTTAATCTCATATTTGAGAAATGGTATCAGTGTAGTTTTAATTTACATATCTAATTATGAGTGAGGTTGACAAGTTTATTCTATACTTATAGGCCATTTTTATATATAGTAAATAAATTTTCTGTGCTCTATCTTTTGTACATTTTCCTATGAAATTCTTTTTTTAACTTTCTTCCATCCATTTTTAAGATTTTTACATATTAGGAATAATAGCTCTTTACTATGTTGCAAATAGCTTCTTCTAGTGTCAGTTGTATTTTGAATATGTTTATGGGCTTTTTGACATTTAGATTTTTAAAATTTTATATAGCCACATTTATTAATTTTATATTTTATGGTCTCTAGATTTCCAATCACAGTTAGAATACATTTCTCACATGAGGGTTAAAGAAATTCACCTGCATTTTCTTTTAGTACTTATGCTGTTTGTTTTTTCCTTTTCCTTTCTTGTTTTTTTTTCACATGTAGTTTCTTGATTCATTTAGAGTTTCTTCTTGAATATAGTCTGAGGTATATATTTAATTTTGCTTTCTGTTTATTTTGTTATAATTTTTCTTTTTTAAAGCTTAGAATTGAATTAATTTATTTTAAATATTTTTTTATTGATAAAATTTTCTAGTACTATGAGTTTTTCTTTGATCATGCTTTAAATGTATTCCATAGATTCTAATATGTAGCCTTATTATCAATATTTCCAGTTTTTATATCTTCTGTACCCAAGAGCTATTTAGTAAAGATATTTATCAATTTTTAGGGAAAAGGACATTTTAAAAAATTTTTGTTAATAATTTCTAGGTTTTTTTTAATTAATGGTAGTTAGAGAATAATTCTTATATTTCTACTTAATGGAACTTACTGATACTGACTTTGTAACCTAACATATGATCAACATTTGTGAGCATTCTATTAATACAATGTATTTCAATGTTATGCTATTAAGATATAACGTTTGATCTATATTCATAAAGTCTAAATGATTGTTCATGTTGTTTAGTTCTTTAATATCAACACTTATTTTTATCTATTTTATCTGTCCTCCTGAGAATAGCATATTAAAATATTCTATCATTGGCTTCCATCTGCTTCATTACACCCTGAGTAGTTTTGCTTCATAAGTGGTTGCTGTGTTATTTGGTGCATGGATATTCACAGGTATCATATCCTTTTCATAAATTTTGATTCAACATTTAAATGAACTCTTCTATCTATGAGTTTATACTGGTATATGTAAACTCTTGAATAAACTGCAGAAAAGGGAAAGTTGTTTCTTACACTTTTCCAACTAGTAAATTTAAAAGATAGGCATAGAGATTTAACATTGGGCTAACACCACAGTAATAATTTTTTCAGGCAAGATCCACGAAGGGATACTAAAGTTAGTGGGTAAAATTTGAAGATAAATAAAATTTGCAGCTTCAAATTATTTCTTTTAAGGTATTTATATTAACTACAAAGGAAAAGACAGTAACTTTACAGAGAAGAAACTCAACAGACACCAGCTTACCCGAGTATTCAAGGTTATAAGACGTAGCAACATATGAATAAGGTCATAAGACATAGCAACATATGAACAAGGTCATAAGACGTAGCAACATATGAATCCCTTGATGAGAAAAAAAACACAATACTATTTCTGTGGCAGTTTTGCAAAAAACACACAATCTCATTTCAAGCATAGGAAAACATTAGACAAATCCACATTGAAGGGTAAACTGTGAAATAACTGATTAGTACTCTTCAAATTCTCAAGATTATGAAAGACAAAGATAGACTGTGGAACTTTGACTGTTAAATGTAATGTGAGATCCTAGATAGAGTCCTGAAACAGAAAAAGGACACCAAAAAAGGTGAGAAAAGGTGAAATTTAAACAAAGTTTCTGGTTAATAATTCCAATGTTAATTTTCTGTTCTTGTTTATTTTACTATGATTATATATGCTATTTAACATTAAAGAAAATGAGTTTAGAGATTAAAAAGTTTTTTAAATTAAGAGACTTCGTTTTTTAGAGCAGTTTTAAATTTACAGAAAAATTGAGCAGGTAGTACAGAGTGTTCCCATATACTGCCCTGCTCCATGCCACAGTTTCCTCTATTTTGCATTTATATGATACATTTGCTACAATTAGTGAACTGGTATTAATGTATTATTATTAACTGAAGTCTATACTGTACATTAACTTTAACTGTTTGCCTTATGCATTCTGTGGGTTTCAATAAATGTATAATGTCATATATCCACCATTATAGTATTATACAGAATATTTTCACTGCCCTAAAAATCCACTATGTTTTACCTATCCATCCCTCTCTCTCTTCCTTACTTTTGAACCCATGGCAACTATGGACCATTTTACTGTCTCTACACTTTTGCCTTTTCTAGGATATCATATAGTTGCAATCATATGGCATATTACCTTTCAGACTGACTTTTTTCTTTTAGTATGTATATTTAAGGTTTTTCCATGTCTTTTTGTGATGACAATTTATTTTTCATCACTGAATAGTATCCTATTGCACATATGTACCATAGTTTGTTTATCCATTCAAGTTTTAGCAGTTATGAATAAAGCTGCTACACATGCTCATGTGCAGGCTTTTGTGTGGACATGTTTTGTACTCAGGTAAATATCTAGAAGCATGATTGCTTAATTGTGTGATAAGACATGTTGAGTTTTGAAAGAAACTGTTAAACTGTCTTCTAAAATGGCTGTACCATTTACATTCCCACTAGTAATGAGTGAGAGTTTCTATTGCTCCACAACCTTAATAGCATTTGGTGTTGTCAGTGTTTGGGATTTTAGCCATTCTGCTAGGTATGTAGTGTCATTTCACTGTTATTTTAATTTGCAATTTTTAGTCATGTATAATGTTGAACATCTTTTCCTGTGCTTATTTGTCATCTGTGTGTCTTCTTTGTTGAGATGTCTGGGTGTCTGTATGCTCATATCTTTTGCTCACTTTTTGATTGCACTGTTTACTTTCTTGTTATTGAGTCTTAGAAGTTTTTCTGTATATTTTAGATACATGACCTTAATCAGATTTATGTTTGGCAAATATTTTCTCCCAGTCTGTGGCTCATCTATTACCTTACATTTTGAAAGTGAGTATTTTTAATAGAGATCAGAGATCGGAAGAATTACCAAATGTTGCCTTATTTGGCTATACTGTGTACATAGATGTATGTCACTATAAATATTCCAGTTTTATTTTAAGTGGGGTCAGATATTTTTACAGATTCATCATAAATAGAGCCTTTTTGTTGTACTGGGAAAGAACCTAACCTTCAGGATCTAATTAAAGAAAATGCTACCATCAAAAATAAGCAATAGATATAGTTTTCTATTTACCTTCTCTTTGGTTTATTAAAGATTGAGAATGATGTCAGTGTTGTGGATTTTTCTGTAGCAATTATGGCAAACTTTGTAAATGAGAATGAACCTCTTTCATTATTCAATGCGCGAGCATACCAAGTTTATCCTTTCCCCAAGATCCAGGCCATACATCTTTCTTTTCTGTCTGGCTCAGAACTAATTCAGCTAGCCCAAAGAAGTCATGTGCTCACCAGTTGCATCACATCATAAGCCCTTTAAAAAAAATGAAATGCAGCTGGGCCCTATGTTTCCATTGTTGGATGCGGAAATCTTGTGACTAAACCAGTAATTAAAGAAGGCATTATTTCAAACACATATTTTCCCTGGGCACTGTGTGTTAGAGGGAGACATGGAAAGTTTCCCTTTATCAACAGGTTAGATCAGATGAATTAGATTTTACAACAGCCAAAAACAGTTTGCTTGACACACTTTATACATTTGTTTTAAAATAGTTTCAATCAGATTCCAGTAAAATCTGATTTGGGGGCAGAGAGATTCTCTGAATAGTCTTACAAATGTAGGTTTATTTTGAGGCTGTCAGCCATCCCTCGAGACAGATCCCTGGATGGTTCCCAGCTTCAGGTTAAATTTCAGGCTGACAATTCTAGGAGTTCTGAACTCGTTTTATAAATATGAGAATGTGATTATCAAAAGGACCTCTTCTACATTGTAAAATTATAATCTACTCTTAAGCTACTTGCTTATAGTAAGTAAACTCAATTTGTACTTTTGAATATTTATATGTACCAAGAAATGTCCTAAATGCTGGAGTGAGATGGAGTGGTAAATTGTTGTTATAATATTGTTATATTTTTAAGTTATATATATCATTAAGTTATATTTCCATGTAATAATATATAAAATAAGAATAATAATGTCTACCTCATGGGGTCCCAGTGAGGATTAAATGACATAATACTTATAATATTTGTAAAGCATTTAGTATAGTGTTTGGCACACATCTGACATTCCATAAAATTTAGCCATCATTATGTTGGAGATTACAGTCTTGTTGAAACAATAATAAACATAGTTGTTAAATAAGAAATCCATGATACTTGCCAACAGATGTGATCAATAAGACTTTGAAGAAGAAAATATTGATGTGAATAGAAGTAGCTTGGGAAAGCTTGGCTAAAAGCCCTTTGTGCATGTGATGGTGTCTTATTCATAGCTCCCTCCTGCTATTTCATCAGAGTGTTTAGAATATAAAAAGTGCTCAACAAACATTTGCTGTTTGAGCGACTTAAGATTTGAGTTGCGAACCCCAAAGATGGGTAGGACTTGTACAGGTAAGATGAGCAGATACATTCTGGGTAGGAGCAGAATTTTGACAAAGATGTAAAGGTAGGAAAGGAGTGGTGTTAGCAGCACCAGCCACTGCTTATGTAGGGCAGCAGTGAGAGTAGTCAGAGAAAGGCTGGGAAGAGACAGCAAGACTTGAGGAAGGCATAAGAACCTGGAGGGATATTACGAACTTAACAACTATTTTATGGGCATTGGGTGGTCACTGAAAGTAACTGAGCAGGGAAGCAATGTTAACGAAAAGATAATTAAAAAGAATAATATTATTGTAGTGTAGAATCATTAAAAGGTAAGGCTGTAGGGAAGACCTATTACACGTGAGATAATAACAACTTATGGTAGAAAGGAGATTGGAAAGGTGAACATTTTCAGTATTGCAGGTTTTTAAAAGACACTCTCATGTAACCTTCAGTGAAGAAGGCTTTATCCTCATTTTATAGATGAGAAAACTGAGTATCAGAGCTCTCATTAGTGTGGCATGTAACTAGAATTCGAAGCCAGGTTTTCCAGGCTCCGAAGGCATGGTCTTCTTTTATAATAGGACTTAGATAATTGACTATGAAAGATCTGGGGAGAAACTGAAGATGATTTCAAATTTTGATTGTATATGACTGGAAAATTATAACACTGTGGGAAAGGAAGAACCAGTTTATGAGAAAAATAATAAATTTAGCTTTTAATACATTGAATTTGAGGCAGCAGTGGGGAACACAGTACCAATGCAAATGAAATAGGGATATGGGTCTGGAGCTTAGAGGTGAGATCAAGACTGAAGATAAATATTGGGGAGCCAATTGAAGTAGTACATAGTGGGAAGACATGTTCTAGATACAAAATAATAAAGACTTATAACAGAGTTTGGAAAATGCTAAGGACAATTAAAAACTGAAGCCAGTGAGGAAGACAAAAGATGGAATGAAAACAGAAAACAAGTGAGATAAGGAAAGTATAAATAGTTTTTTGTTTGTTTTTTGAAATAGAGTTTATTAAGTATCACAGAGTTCAGAGTTTCAGGTGTTTCTATGTATAGATATGTATAGATAGAAAGGAGAGACTCAGTGGTAAATAAAAGAGAAAAGGCAGGGTGATGTAATGGGGAAAAAGACTAGTCTGGGAGTGGGAAGAACTGGGTTGCAGTAGCAGCTCTGTTATTCTGTGACCTTAGTAAAATCACCAAACATATTTAGGATTCAGTTTACACATTTATGAAATGAGAGGTTTAATGGGAGATGACTTCTAAAGGTCACTTGACACTTGAAAGTGTTGAAATCCTTAGCTAAAAGGGAACAAGTTTGAAAATACGTAGACAAGAATGAGTGCACAATTTTATGGTTCATTCATGTATTCCACATTTATTATGTCCATGTAATTTATTTTTCTATGTCTATGTATTGTATAGTGGAAGTGGGAGAGAAAACATGATCTCTAGTGTAAAATTTAGAGAGCTTGAGTGATGCTCACAAACTACAAGGTCCCTATATTACAAAGAATTGAGACAGGTTGTTACCAACTTGGAGAAGGGAAAGGAATGCAGAGGACTGTGGAAAGACCTACCAAAAGCTCTCAGAAGCCTTCCATTGTTGGCTCCAGTAGAAATTAAGCTAAGAAGCAATTCATCAGTTAGTGAGAACATGGTGCCCCTAGCCCTTCTGTTGGATGTCCTTGTCTCGTTAACCACTTTGACTTAAAATCTATTGTCTTTGATAATACAGCCACCCTTCTTTTCGTAATTTACACGGAAAATGCTTTTCTTTTTCTTTCAAACTCTGTGTCTTTATATCTAAAATAAGTCTCTTGTAGACATAGTACAGATATGTCATTTAAAAAAATCAATTTTGCCACTCGCCTTTTATTTACATTTAAAGTAACTGCAGATGATAGACTTCTGCCATTTAGCTATTTGTTTTCTATCTTTATGCTTTTTACTTCTCAATTCCTATATCACTGTCTTTTTTGGTATTAACTGATTTGTTTGGTAGTAGAGCTTTTGTTTTGTTTTGTTTTGTTTTTTTGAGATAGTTTTGCTCTTGTTGTCCAGGCTGGAGTGCAATGGAGTGCAATCTTGGCTGACTGCAACCTCTGCCTCCTGGGTTCAAGTGATTCTCATGCCTCAGCCTTCCTAATAGTATACCATTTTGTTTTCCTTCTTCCCTTTTCTGTATGTTTTTAAAGTCATTTTCTTGGTGTTTATCTCAAGGGCTACAACATCTTAAACATGTAACAACAAGTTGAATATCAACTTAATTTCAGTAGTATACAAACACTCTGCTCCTATACATCTCCATCTCTCTCACTTTATATTGTTCTTGTCATAGATATATTTTTATATATTGTGTGACCATTAAAATAGATTCACTTTTATGCACTTGCCTTTTTAATTATACAGGAAAGAGTGGAGTTACAAACTAAAAGTACAGTAATACTGGCTTTTATACTTACCTATAAAATTACATTTACCTGTGTTATTTCTTTATATGACTTCAAGTTACTATCTATTGTCTTTTCTTTGCAGCCTGATGTACTCCCTTTATTTCTCGTAAGAAAGTTCTACTAATAACAAACTTCATTAGGTTTTGTTTATCCGGGAATGTCTTAATTTCGCCTTCATTCTTGAAGGGTAGTTTTGCTAGATATAACATTATTTAACCTTTTAAAGAAATTACTTATTTCCAGCATTATAAATACATCGTTTTACTCCCTTCCAGCAAGTTATGTCTGTTCTATTCCTTCTAGAACCAAGGGTCAGGTCCCACACTGGGCACCCAAGCTGCCATTTTTAAGACTGCCATGCCACTGAACCACAGAGAAGACAGGAGCCAAGGTAAGTCAAAGCCACAAAGCTTTCCTAACAATAAGTTGCCTTTTTCTTGATTTAACATTCACATAGTTGCTGTAAACTTTTGACTGTTTTCCAGAGTCTGACAAAGTTGGTTCTGACAGTTTCTGGTTGTTTTCTTCTCTTTCCATGGAGGGATGGGAGTCTGGAGCTGCCTATTTGTCATTTTTCTGTTGTTACTCTCCTAGTTGTGAAATGCAGGACAAATCACCTCCTCTCTGTATCTATTTTATTCTTAATCAAACAGCACAACTCCAAAAATGTCATAGGGATGTGGTGAGGAGGCTATAGAGATTTTAAAAAATAGTGTGCAAAAAAGTTTAACTTCACATATTTTGTTGATCTTCCTTTCTACCTAAAAAAATATACTTCATCTTTAACCACCAGCCTGAATAGTTCTCTCACATCAGTAGGAGAAAAACAGTGGCTTTATTTCGACATTTTATTGAACTTTTCATATTACACAATTTACCCAAAACATTTAAAGTAACAGTAAGACAAACTTAAAAAAAAAAAAGTCATACAGACAAAACATCTCTAGGTGAGGCAATATGTAAATTTCATTGTCAAATCATGATTTTGTTACTCTGCTATACAACTTGGTACCATATCAATGATACTAAATGACTCAAGAGTAAGACATTATGCATTCCGTTTATATGAGAAAAAGAGATTATTTACAACTACTTGAAAGAGAAACAGAAATGCCAACAACAGTATCATTCAAATTCTAGTGCAATGTCAATTGTTACCAAGAGATCTTATTTGCTTATATAAATTTTGCAAATAATTCAAACCTGGCTATCTTATTAGAAGCTGACAAAGTATGCTTTTCTGTTGCAAAAGATCAGTGGACAAAAATCCTCCACAACCTCAGCTGATAAAACAAATTTAAGCAGCATTTTTTTTTTCCATTTCCTGAACAGATGTACTAATACTTAGGTAGAAACACTAAAGCATTTGTACTCAATCAATAAAGTGAATGCTTTGTGCAGTTTTAACAAAGCTGCTGCTAAAAAGACAGTTGTGAGTGGTCAGGTATATCTGCAATAGTAAGCAAGTTCTTACCTTTCCAGTTCTGTATGCTTCTGAAAACACCAGCTAAGGTATTAAATACCCATTTTCAAGTGACCTTGTTTTTACTATTTCATATTTATGACATCTAGTGCTGAGATTCTGGGGGCTTTAATAGATAACCTTATTAACCCAGATAATTTTTTTTGGAGCCCATAAAATAAAATTGAGAATGGCATTTCGGGAAGGTCTACATATATGTATTTAGTAAGTTAATTCGTAAGTTCACTTTACATAGTAAATTAATATTTACCAGTTTTTAATTGCTTTCAGTGTACTTGACTCAAATTAAGAAACCCTACAATGTAAGGCAAGTGTATCACAAGCTCCATGGCCAAAATTTGGCTTATATAAGAGGACCAGTGGGCCTGTGGAACATTTAATAGAATCTTTTCCATAATGCTATTAGTTCTACTGAATTAAAAAATATTATTTTGAGCTGTTATTATCTTAAGAAGTATAGCCCATGGATATTTGATTTGGCACCCATGTTAAAGAAAAATAACAATTTTTAAAAGGGAACGAGCGTATCTTACAGTTATCTCACTCATTCTTTTCAAAATTCAGTGCAACATATTTGGCTAGCTTAAATTTAAGTGCGTGACCGTTCAAGATTTTGTTTCAACTAATTTGGAGTGGTTGTAAAAAATTATTCATATTTTACTTTCTACATTTCAATTTTAATGTTAATTTGTATTCTCTTTCTCCAAAAAGGAAAACAAGATCAACCTTATTTGTGTATGGTTCAGCCTATCAGTCTTATAATTATTCTACAATAAAATGAATTTATGTAACTAACTATTTTCATGCTAACTTCCAAAAAATATCCTGAAATATTTAATTTTTAGCTAAACAAAGGATCCTACAGATTTTCACTAGTAAATACTTGATTCTATTCAGATTCTTTTCTAGAAATTTTTCAAACTTGAAATTTTCTGGTTTACTCTTATCTGAAACTATCCTAATTGAAAACAATTTAAATGCTATTGGTTGGACAAAGTAAACCTTAATCTAAAATAGTCACCATAAAATATAAAATGTGATCAGTGGTGTTTAATTTTATTTTCCCCCTTTTGGTGGAATTTAAAAATGGAAAATGTAGGTGTTTCAGTAACTACACACACACACACACGAGAGATTTGCTACTTATTACTGTTTTTACACTTTTTGGATATCACTTTTTTGTTCCAACACTACTATTTGCAAAAAGTAACCATTTCTGTGACATTTAGCAAGTAAAATGAATTTCTATTCGTATGCATTCTTGGTTGGACAATATCAGTGCAAAGTCACTGTGCTTCAGAGCGCTAAATGGTTCATGATACAACTGTGATTATTCACGTGAAGACATGAAACTTTAAAATGTCTAATGATAGAGCAGACACATATCATTTTACTACACAAAGTGCTTAACCCACCAAATTACATTTAGGAATAGACAAAATGTTTTTATTAAACTGATTAGTAATTTTTTTGCTTATTATATGTTGAAATGTACAAATGTACTTTTTCCCCTCACCCATAAAATACAAGGGCACATTTCCTTTAAGGTTTGGATTTTTCTTCAGTATTCATCTAAAGAAGTTTAAATAAAAGGTGATAAGAATAATTGCTTTTCCCTCCACGTACATCTATTTTGGAAAACAAAATTTAAAGCAAAACCTGAAAGAAAATAAAAACGGAAGCCATTATTTAGTGGTGACTATATACTAGACAAGAGGCACAAATTCCCAGATGAATTTTAATTTTGTTTCCTCTCAGACAAGCCATTCAGAAATAAAAGGGAAATGAGGTTCATTTAAGTACACAATTTGTAAATGTGGAAACAGTAGTAATTGTCATGATTATTTTATATTCTCTCTTAACAGTGGCTCTAAAAACAGCCCAATGATTCACACAACTAGCAAAGCAAACCAAACTCTATAAATGTATGAGAAATTAAGTTGCTAGCACTGAAACACTGGGTTTGGATATGGACAAGGATGTTGTCTCTGACTTGTATCTTTTGGGTACCTTGGTTTTTGATATTTTGATGTTCAAGCAGAAAGCGCGTGACTTTGTTTTATGCAATAAGGTGATGTAAGTGTAGAAAATGTGTAGGGATGAAGGAAATTCCAAGTTACATGTGTATACATAAATGGCTTTATAAAATACATATATATAGCCATTAAGATAGTTACATAGGGACAATGCAATTTAAAACATTTATACTCCTGCTTACAGATTGCCAAGTCTAATCATCCCTTAAGTCTTTTTCAATAATGACATAATTTATTTGCTTAAAGGTAAAAACCTCCTGATTGTATTAAGGACATTAATATACTACACTGTATTAAGGATACTATACCAACATCAATCTAGGAGGTAAAATAAACGTTTGGCAAATATTGAAGTCAGATGGAATAGATTCAACTCTATAAAGTTTTGTTTTAGATTTTATAATAAAATTTTGCTTCTGCCTACGATCATGTTTACTTCAGCATGAGTGCTACACTAACTAGAATTTAATAAGTGTTATTTTTATTGAGTTTTCAAATTTGGAAGGATTTTGATCCAAAATATATACCTATGCCTTAAAAAACAAAGTCAAGATAATCAGTATGGGCTTTAGTACCAATTTTACTTTCCAATCCATTTTCTTCCCCAGTATTTCACTTGTATCCCTCATAACTTCATAGCAAATTATCCAGATTATATCTTCCAGACTACTCAGTGAAGGAACCTAAATCTCAAATGTTATTTTGAAGAAGTGTAGAGTAAATAATTTTGGTAATCTGTAAAACAGCTGCATGCAGTGTGTACTGTATTATAACAGCACCAAACCCTTTATAAAAACCAAACACTCCTTCCTCCTGCCTTATGGTATTGATACAGTCTCTCATTCCCTCATATTGTGTATTAATTGGAAGCACTTCATAGCCAAGGTCTGTATTGTCAATTATTGTGCGTGTTCCTTGAATGTGAAGGCGGTGCAAAACTGTTTCCAATGGGTAAAGTATAACGTCAGAACAAAGACTGGCAGCAAAGTTAGCAATAAGTTCTGGAAAATAAGCATCCAACATACTCTGCACAGGGCTAGTGCTCTCAGCTAGGTGGCTATTGTAAGTCTTTCTCTTTAGAATTAGTAGGACAAACTTCTGAA
Organism: Homo sapiens; assembly: GCF_000001405.40. NCBI lineage: Eukaryota > Metazoa > Chordata > Mammalia > Primates > Hominidae > Homo > Homo sapiens. The sequence goes on along the minus strand of NC_000005.10, from coordinate 110,761,369 downwards.
TAACTGAGCTGATGATGTAATGAAGAACTCCATGAAGCACCGTAGGGAAGATCAAGGAAAGAAGCGGAAGAAGTCGTTTGCTATGAGGCACTCCCATGCCTATCACTCTTCCAATTCCTTCTTTAACACACTCCAAAATGCCAGTATTATCTCGAATTATCTCACTCTGAAATAAAAATGATGAAATAAGTAAAACTTAACATTTGCTTATTTTGCCACAGAAAAAGGACTCTTTTTAGGTTCCTTTTAAATCCTAACATAGTGACTGAAGAGGGAAACATCCATGATTTGCAGACTTTAACTGTTATCTAGGCATCAGATTTTTTTTCAAATGAAATCTCATAAAATTGCTAGCAGTGAAGTTGGGAGCTAATCTTATTGGGGTAGGGAGACTGGGGAGATGTGTAGGTGGATACATCTCAAGAAACTTCTTAGAACTCACATGGAAAGGCAATAACTATGTAACGCTTAAGGAGACAATATAGTGCTTATAGTTCTTAAACATGTTTAAATCCTGGCTCCATTACTTACTGGCTATGTAACCATTGTCAAGTTACTTAACTTCTCCTAAGCACAGTTTCGCATTCTACAAAAATGGAAATGAGCACTGTCTACTTTTTATGCACAGGGTTGTTGTGAATATTAAATGAAAAAAGGCTTGGCACTCAGGAGTCACTCAATAAATGTTAGTCTTATTACCACCTGCAATGTCTGCTTTTGTAGAATTTTGGGGATATGAATAAGAAAGTTTGATGTGGATTACCGAGGTATAGATAGATAGAAAAGAACTTGCCAAAAGGCACTTTGGCTGCAGCAATGACTGCAGGAAAGTAGCAGATGAAATTTATAAGGTAGCCAGGGGCTATATCATGCCTTAGAGACTAATCTGTAGACTTTGGCTTCTAGTCAGATGGGAAATAACTGGTTGATTTTAAGCAGAAGACGGACATGACATAATTTGTATTTTGAAAGAATACTGGCTGTTGTGCAAAGGAGAACAAGATCAGTTGAGAAACCAGTTCAAAAGTTACTGGAATGATTCCAGTAACAAAGAGATGATGGTGGCTTGGACTAGAAGGTGGCAACAGAAGTAAAGTGGTTCAATTGTGCTTTTATCCTAAAATCAAAGTCTATGGGAATTACTGGTGAATTGCATTTGGGGTATGCAAGAGAAGGGTCAAGGATAACCCCAAGGTTGCTGTCCAGAGGAACTGGGGGAATAGCACTGCCTTTTATTGAGATGAAAAATTGCCAGAGTAGCAATTTGGTGAAGATCAAGAGTTCAGAAATGTTAAGTAAATTAACTCCAAATGGAGTTCACAATAGAAATTACAGAAAAAGGTACACAATGGACCTACAGATGGTTTCCAACTTACGATGTCTCAACCTAAGATTTTTCGAATTTATGACAGGTTTATTGGGATGTAATCCCATCGTGAGTGGAGGAGCACTGTATTATAAATGTGGGAGTCTTTAGTAAATAGATGATATTTAAAACTATGAGATGACAGTGAGCTTGCCTAGCCTTCTAATCCATCTTCCTACTTCTGACCCTGACATCCTTCCCACTCCAGTTTATTTTTAATGCAACAGTCAAAGAGATCCTAATAAAGATGTAAGTCAGATCACACCACCGCTCTGCTCAAACCTATCAAAGACTTTCCATCCTTCTCAAACAAAAGCCCAATTATTACAATGATTTACAATGTCCTATGTAATCTGGTCCCCTCTTACCACTCAGGCCTCATCTCCTGTATTCCCCCCTTGCTTACTTAGCACCAACCATAACAGCTTCCTTTCTACTTCTTAAGCATGTGTGATACAACACACATGACACAGTCCCACTTGAGAGTTTTTGCACCTGCTTTCCCTCTAAATACAATTCAACATTTGCTTATTTTGTGCTTAGTTAGCACCAGCCACATCGGCATCCTTCCTACTTCTCAAGCATGTATGATACAACACACATGACACAGTCCCATGTAAGGGCATTTGCACTTGCCTTCCCTCTACTTAGAATATTCTCCCAAATATGCATGTTGATCTTTACACAAATGTCACCTTCTCAGTGAGACCTTTACTTATCTTCTTAAAAAAATATTAACCGCCCCTCCCTACCCATTACACATCCTATTTGCCTTCCTTGCTTTATTTTTGCTTTCTTTAGCAGTTAATCGCCATGAAATATACCTTTTATTTAGTTGTTTATGTCTACTTTCCCCATAAGAATATAAGTGCTATGAGAACAGAGCATTTTGGTTTTGTTTGCTGTTGTATCCCCAGGGTCTATAACAGTACCTGATATAGGCAAGTACTCAATAAACAATTGATACATTTTTTTTAAAAGTTTAGCAGTTAAGATAATCTGCAAATCTGAAAGGTAAAGTGATGTAATTAAAACCTTGGTTTAAAACTATAATAAGAAGTCTGAAGTTGATTTTAGGGAATATGAGTCAATATGAATCCTTAATCAGTAAAAGGATATATATAAGTATTGCAACTTGAAAACAATCTTGTATGAGTATTGACTTTTAAAATGTGGAGACTAGTACAAGGATTTCTTTCTTTCTTTCTTTTTTATTTTTTTTAAGACAGAGTCTTACTCTGTCACCGAGGCTGGAGTACAGTGGCGTGATCTCAGCTCACTGCAACCTCTGCCTCCCGGGTTCAAGCGATTCTTCCATCTCAGCCTCCTGAATAGCTGGGACAACAGGCGCCCACTACCACACCCGGCTAATTTTTGTATTTTTAGTAGAGATGGGATTTCACTGTTGGCCAGGCTGGTCTCGAACTCCTGACCTCATGATCCGCCCACCTAGGCCTCAAGGATTCTTAATGAAGAAATAGATAACTACAAAGTTCATGATGACTGGGTAATTATGAAGGATGAAAGAAATGTAAAAATAAAAAACTTTCCTAAAACAAAAACTAAAGTTTTGAATCTTTAGTGTGAAGATAACAATAGTATCACTAATATATTGCCAAGGAGAAGAGGTTCTAAAGGAAGCTAATTTTTAGAGGGACAGATGAGATTGTTTTTAAAAGTTGAGTCTGAAGATTTAACTCACATGAGATTAGAGCTAATGATTCCTGTGAATAAATTAGCTCTTTCAGAATAATGAGTATAGGATAAAAAACAGAGGGTCAAGGATTGGGCCTTAAGGTATAAGACAAGAGATGGCAAAGGCATTATTGAAAAAAGATGTTCAAGAGAGAGAAATCTAAAGAAAAAAGAGTTCTAGAAAAGCAGACAAAAGAGATCAAAAGGAGTTAGCAAGTGGAACTTGAAGCAGGAAACAAGGAGTAAATACTGGGTTAAAAAAAACACATACACAGAAAAAACCCTATCACATAGTGAGCCGGGCACTTATATAAATAACTCATTCAATGTTACACGTCAGTTATTAAAATACTATTCACAATTTATGGATAAGAAAATTATAAAGGTTAAGAAATCTGTCTAAAGTCCCAGGTCTAATTTAAGCAGAGAAATGTGATAATGGGTCTGTCTCAAGCTAAAAATTGTTTTCCCCAATAAATCATTCTGCTTAGTTGTTTTTCCTTAAATAATTACCTTCCTGACATTTTTCCCTTACCTTTAAAATGAGGCTATCTCATACAAGTGACAACTCTGTAAATTCTATAGCACCATACAAAAATTCATCATTTATTTAACACAATGCCAAATGCAAGGGGAAGGGAAAGTATGATTTGGGTCGCAAGACACTAACTTCAGTTAACTGAAGTTAGTTCTAACAGAAATAATAATAATAATAATCATAAATCAAAGATGAATGATACAGCCAGAAAAGAAACAAGGTAGAAAAGAGTAATTAGAAGAGCAAAGGCTGATCCAGTGCGAGTTTTTACAGAGAGGGCACTCACATATACTAGAGAAAAGAATATGCTAGAGGATCTGATGTGGAAATAGAAGACAGGTGTACAAATAGTTGGATTTTGTATACAGGTGAAGTAAAAACTACCTTCATCTTACAGTTTTAAGTGTAGGAAGGAGGGTAAGACATTTAATTAAATGTACTTGAAGCGCCACCATGTGGTTAGGAATAGTAACACAAGCAAACAGAATTTCAAGTGCTAGCAGAAAATTGCTTCAGCTTTGTAGTATTTACCACACCCAATAGTATCAAATGTCACTTAAAGGCATGTTTTAAAAGAATCCTGTCAGTAAACTACCTGTGGGGACAACCTGCTTCCTGTTCGGATGATTATCCATCATGTTTATTCTCAGGTAATTATTAATTTACTGTCCAATGATAAGCCATAACCATCTGAGTTGTATGTAAGGGCCTTAAAAAGTTTATAGATTCTTTGTTTTCAGAGCAAGTTATAGGCTGTGTTCTGAGATGTCTAAATGAAGAGTATAGTTGCCTATGGAAAGGACAAAAATAATTAAAACTAGAAGTGTGACTTAAGATACCAATGGAAATATACAGACAAGCAACGTGCGATATAACTGTGATATTTATAAAATAAATATTTTAAGACATAGTCTTAAAATTTTCTGCTGAAATGTTAGATATCTACAATATACTGAATAGTCAAAAAACTATTCTTAAATAAAAAAAAAATGACAGTAAAAAAAAGCTCACCTGCACTGTTTCAATCAGACTTGCTGAATAAAAAGGCATTGCCACCACGTAAGTTAGGCTATAGAAATTAAAACAAATTTATCAGTATACTGAAACAAGATGCTTATACTAAATTTTTTAATATCTGCTTTAATATGTCAACATAATTTATAGTCAAGCTAGAATAATCTTTTTAAGGTTTTCAACTATTAATACCTACAGCCTAAAAATATTAACTTCAGAAATCTGTAACGTAGGATGCTTTATTCAACAGAGATGAAAAAATCAAATGATAAAACAAGGACAGCCTGCAAAGAAAATAGATTGGACATCTACCTACACATAGCTAATGCAGCCTATAAATCTAAAACTTAAAATTGAGGATGAGGGATCCATTCCATAGTTTGCCTTTTTAGTGATATTTGAGCAAGTAACTTTTCTGTTACTATCCTCTTATATCAATTCCCAGATTTCCCATCCAGCAGAGTTAGGCCAGTCTTCAATGGTGAGTGAAGTCCCTTTTATTATTAAAAAAAAAAAAAAACATTATACAGCTTTGCAAAGTTGTTTCCTATCACCAATATTTAGACATAGTAATATTACAACTTTGCAAGCCTGCAAAATATAGTTATTCAAAATAATATCAAGGTGGGACTTACCTAACCCTTATGGGCCAGGTCCTGGCAAGTAGTGGTTTTCAAGGTGAATGGAACATCACTAAGTAATAATGTGCTGGAATGTCCCACTGAGGGAGCCAGCAAGCTGGGGGATTTCCAATTCACAATCTTCAAAAAAAAAAATTAAAAAGTGAAGAATAAAATTCTAATCTACAAAAATGGTTACCGTTGTAAAATCACTAAGTGCCTTCAGGACTACATTTCAATGTCACTAAGGTTTTTTGGGTTTGCTTATCACCATACAAATACATTTGCATCTCTGATTAACAATAAAATAGTTATACTTTCTTTGAAAATCTGGGTTAAATAAATTGAAGACCTATGCTAACTTCCTAAGAAAACATACACAAAATTAGTCTGTGATTCTAGCCTTTCAAATTAGGAATTTATTTTAAAGATAATATATATTTCAGGATTTATTCCTAAACTCTGTGTTACTTTGTCCTTTGAAGTTATAGTCCCACCAACATTTCACTGCTCTAATTTCCTTCTCTACAGTTATTTAATAAGATTTGTTTCCAGTTCTAATACTATAAAAATTAGTGAAAATGCCCAATAAAAATGCCATTTTTTGATACTTACGATTTCAGTAGAAGGTGTTCTCCTATTTGTTTAGGACTCCATTTATGTAAAACCTCCCTAAAACATAAAAATAAACTTAAATAAAACAAAAGCCATGTTATTTAAAACATCTGGAATTAGCCCAATTTTCAAAACAGTAATCAACTTCTAATTTTTTTCAATCTGTAGGAGAAATATATTCTAATGGTGAACATTTTCTTTTCTAGAACACAGTGTAAACAACTGTGATGGTTTGAGAGAAAAAAATACAAGGTGTTTTCATACGTGCTGATAGAAGGGGCTGGCAGAGAAGCAAGAGGCACAACTGATTATGAAAGTAAACATGAGAAATTAAAGGAAGAAAATTAAGATGATTGGTTAAAAGAAAGAGAATAGATATGGAAACAAAGAACAGGATTAAAAAAGGCTTTACAAAGTATATAAGAATGACAATTTTTTAAAAAAGTTAAGTAACTCTAATGCAGGCTGACACATTACATTTATGTAGTACCTAATTTCTGAATTATCTTTACTTAGTACAATTACATAATTTTGTGACCATTATATTCTATTATCTTTGTGAGCACCTACTAAATGCCATGACTATGCAAAGTGCTTTGCATGAACTATTTCTAATCTTCATAATAACCCTATTTTCTCCATTTCATAGATGAGGAGATAGGATCAGAGGGGATTAATAACTCATCCAAAGCCAAGTAACCAGTTAGTGTGGAACTCTGTTCTAAACCCCGGTACTCTCTGCCTGTACTGCCTCTCATCTTATTTGATACAAAGAAGAACCTTGTGAGATAAGCAGAGCAGATATTGTCACACTTGTCTTACTGATGAGAAAAATCAGGGTCAAAAAGATCACAGGAAAATGTTCAAAGGAAACAGGCAAAAATGCCAGGTCTGGAACCAAGGTGTAGGATTTTGTGCATTCTGTCTGCTAGTTTGGTTACCTTTGGAAAACAAGAAAAGAAAGAAAAAAAAGGAAGGAAGAAAAAAAAAAGAAAGAAAGAAGGAAGGGAGGGAGGGAGGCAAGCTGAAATGAAATAGAACCAAAGGTGAAAAAAGGGAGTAAGTTCTATCAAGAGAAAAGTCCAAAAAGAGTCAAGATTATAGAGGGTAAAAAAAAAAGAAAAGAAAAAAAAAGAAAGTAAATAAGAAGAAAAAAATGAAAAGGCAGGGGAGATAGAAGAAAAATGAAAAGAAAAAGAGAAAAAAAAAACAGAAAGGGAAGTGCAAAATAAAGATAAGACTTGCTACCAACAGTTTCTCTGATGGAATGGGTACTCATTCCATCATGGCTATGGCTACAGCAGGAATCTAGATAAACATTTTCTATTTCACATGACTGAATTTGAAAAACAACAGCATATACATACATCAGAGACTTTCAGACAATAGAGCAACTACCCCCGATTTCTAAGACCTTAGAGCACCTTCTGGGCCGAACTCTGATTAAATTACTATTAGGATATTTATTTGGCCTGAACAACACAATGTAGCTGAAATCATATTATTCAATGATTAAGTCGAAAAATATAAAAAATAGATTAGGCCTCCCATCTTACTGAAAGTTACTTTATGATTATAAAACAAAATACGTTACATGCTTTGTAAATCATCTTGGCACAGCTAATACTCATGGCCTCACAAAGTATTACCACAGTTTATGACGACACCAATTTTAAGTATGAAACTGTGGTAAACACTTAGGACTGGGTAGCCTCCCCTTTAAATACAATGTCAATTCTGAGTTACCTCCCCTTTGATGACTACTGCCAATTCTTAAGATCATTAAGATAAAAGGAGACTTAAAACCAAGTATTTAAAAAAATGCTTTTGGGACTCTTCTTTGTATCTGTTCTCTACTACTTTATAAAATGGGTAAAATTTACTGTTACAGCTCTAGAAATTTAAATAAGCATACTTAAAAGCTTCAGTCACTAAACCTTTTTATAATTCATTATCAAATACCAAACATGTAAATATATCTAAATTATCTATTTCCAAGCAAAAAATGCCCTCCCTAATGAACGAAAAAATTAATAAAATTTATTCGAGTACCTTGCTTTTCTCAAAACAGTCTAGTTTTTCATTTAACAAATCAAAACACATACTCCTATGCATAATCAACACAAAAAAGGCAATAAAATTCTAAAATAACTCTGTCTCAGCAGTCTTTAATTTTCAAATGGTCAAATAGCTATCCTAATTAAAAAAAAAAAAAAAAAACTTACCCCAACCTACTCTAAACCCCTCATCTTCCAGTTACCTCTCTTCATCAATCCTAGTCAGAGCCAACCATCTAAACTTTCTGTTTCCACGTCTGTACTTTCCCACTCACCTCTGAACCCACTTCAAATTGGTTTTGAACAAAAACAGCTCTTACCAAAGTCTCCAATAATCTGCATGTCATTAAATCTGATGGACATTTTTAAGTCTCTACCTTATTTGACATTTCAGCAGCCATCAGAGCCTCTTCTCTCCTTGAAGCACTCTTTGCCCCTGTGCTCCACTAGCCCATTCTGTTGGTTTTTATCCTGCCTTCTGGTCTCTCCTGACTCCTTTTCAAGACCACCTTTCTTAACCCAGCCACCCCTTGGTTGGAGTTCCTAAGGTTCAGACTCTATTCTTCTACCATAGTGTATCCTTCTTCCCTAGCGACGCTCATATCTAGGGTTAGAGCTTCAAAATCTCCCAAATTAATTTACCTTCAGTTAAGAATTCTTTATATGCCAGCCCCATATCATGTGCCTACAGACAACTCCATCTGGATATGATAAAAGATCTGAAAATGCACTTGTACTAAAGTCCAACTTAAAATCTTTCTTTTCTACTTAAACTCTTTCAGTGTTCCCTACTCAGGAACTATTAATCAGAAAGGAAATCTATTGAATTTGAGGAAGATTTCATTGTGTTTAAAATAACGTGTGTTTAAAATAAGCAAATTCGGAGGGAACCGTTGGAGGAAAACTACAAGATGTTTACAGTGGTATAACCACAGATGTGTGATGAGTCAAAACTAAGTTGGAGTTGAACCAAATGGGTTTTGTGAGAGACTGAACCACACAGGTAGCCTTGGTTACAGGAACTCCTACCTCGCGTTAACAGTCTGAAAAAAGCCACATGTAAATTAAGTAAAGGGTACTGTGGGGGTAGAACGACACATGGTTTAACTCACTGCAACTGGGAGAGAGAACAGGGAAGGGTTTAGCAGTATCTACTGCTAAAGAGATCACACATGACGATCCTGGCTAATATATAATTTGTTAAAAAGTAATACTACTGAGAAATTATAAATTTGCTGACTTAATGAACACTAGAGATCTGCTGTTTTTCTCTTTGATTTGATCATAAACTGTATTTAAAAACCCCTAAATATTGGCAAATCTGTACTATCTCCCCTGTTCTACCTAGTAAATGTTACGCAATTAAAAAACCCCAGGCTAGGAGACCTCAGAGCTCATCCTCCTCATGTAGTAGCTTCTGTGAACTGCTGTTAATGTTTTGTGACCTTGTTTGCTCCTTCTTCCCATTAATAGGATACAGAAACAAACTCTGCCTTCTTCCCATTAATAGGAAAGGTCAAATCTGCCCAAAGAAGAATAAATAATTTTTTAAAAGATATTCACACTATACTTCAAAAAAACAGCTTCATTTGACAACTAGTTACACAAGCCCAAATACAAGAAGTCATTCTTCATACTGCCTTCTCTTTGATCTACCATTCCTAAAGCATCACCAAATTCCCTCAGTTTGACCTAAGTATATTTCAAAACTGTCCACTTACCTCTATCTCAAAAGATACCACCCTGATCTTAGCCACTATCTTTTCTTACCTTTATTATTGTAATAGAATACTAAGATGTCTCCTTTTATTCACTTTGGTCCTCATACAACCTTTTCATCTACAGTTACAATGACCCTTTGAAAACAAATCTGATGTCACTGACCTTACTGAACCTCTTCAATATTCTTAAAATGGCCTACAGGGCCACACATGTTCTGGCTCCCACCTGCTCTGTACCCTTACCCTTGGCCAGAGCTCCAGCCATGTGAGGCTTCTCTCAGTTACACCTGAATTCTCTAGGCTCCCCACTGCAACAGCATTTTTGTACAAACTGGTATGTACCTCCTAATTACCACTCTGATCTACCTTAAGTGTCATGTTACTAGGGACACTGTTTCTAGCCCTTTAATACTTTCATGGAACTATATTCTTTTGCTTCAGAAAACAAATTTCAATTTGCAATTATTCATTAATGGAATTATTGTTCTTAGTGAATGTACTTTTATTAGATTCTGAGCTTCCTGGCAACAGTTACCTTTTGTTTATTTTCCTCACTGTAAACCCGGTTTTTAGCACAGAACCTGGCACATAGTAAGTACTCAGGAAATGTTAGCCAAGTAAATGAATGAATTAATGAGTGGGCCTTATCACCAAAATTATCCAAGTAGAACAATGCAATAGAGGTTACTATTTTGTCTTCTTTGGAAAGATTCAAAATGATGAAAATATATTCCCACTCAGTTGACATGTCTGTCTACTGAGTAAGAAAGTTAGATGATAAAATTTTATAAAGTCCTATGCCTTCCCATTCCTATTTTTCTTTTTTCTTCCCTGTAGCCTGAAATTAATGTTATTCCTTCATCTCTGCTTTAGAGAGGCAACATTACTTGCATAAGGTCCCAGAAATAAAAAGTGGAATAGCCAGGACCTGAACCAATAGTGTTCTGGTTGCAAATATAGTCAACCCTCCATATCCATGGGTTCCACATACATGGATTCAGGCAACTACGGATTTACAATATTTATTTAAAAAAGGGATAGTTGCATCTGTACTGAATGTGTACAGAGTTTTTTTCTTTCTTGTCATTATTCCCTAAACAATATAGAATAACAACTATTTACATAGCATTTACATTGTATTTGGTATTACAAGGAATCAAGAAATGATTTAAAGTATACAGGAGGTTATGTACAGGTTGTATGCAAATACAACACCATTTTATAAAAGGGACTTAAGCATCTCTGGATTTTGGTATCCACTGGGGGTCCTGGAATCAATCCCCTACAGATATGAGGAACAACTGCATTGAATTTTTTTCACTCTACCAAATGGAATTTCCTGCATTTTGTTATTTTTTTACAGAATTGTTTGTTAAAGAATTTCAAGAATATTTGACTATAAGTACTAACTTGGGATCTTATCTAGTGATATAAAAGCAATAAAGTGAATAGTTAGCCAAACAACGAAATACAGATTTTTAAAGAATAAAACAAGAAACTCTGAGCTGCCCAAATGTTGCTGACCTTTCTAATCTTTGTTTTGTTTCAAACGTTTTAGCAAAGTTTATTTAAGGCACTTCAAGACTACGAGGTCCTTCAAAAGCAATCACATTGGAAAAAAGCTTACTATCAGTTTCTCTTGCTTTCATTTCCTTCCCTGTAAGGACTAAATCCCAACATTGGGCATATGCGTTACACTAGTAGCTATGCCTTCAACTATCTCACTTCTTTAACAATGCAAAAAATTCACCTTGCCAGAGAATAAATTTGGATTAACAAACCATTCCAAAGCCTTTAACATTATCGATAGGATGATATACAAAAATATAGTGCTGATATAGAAAATCAGAGTAATGCCAAATAGCACCTTAAAAATTTCTAATTTCCAATATTACCTATTAACATTCCTTTCATATACTCTTTGTAAGATTCCTTTGTTACCCATCATTGTGACTGTCCCAAATGTGTATCATTCCTCTCATGCTTTTCTACTACAACCCCAATGCTTATCATTTTTTCACCAAATAACCCTGTATCCTGCTTCACAGAGAAAAGAGAGACCCAAAAGCAAATTTCCCTAATTTCTCTACCCTCTCTCTCAAATGTATCTACACTTCTAATTCTCCCATTTTTGGTTTCTAGAACATGATTGTCCTACATCTTATGCTATTTCCAATTTGTCTGAGGCCCTCTCTAATTTCTCTCATTATCTCCCCCAACTACCCCCCTTCCCACCGCTCCCACACACACACGGCACACATGTATGCCTAGGATTCTGTCCTTGGTCCATTTTATTCATTTAATCTATGCTTTCTCCTTAGGTGATTTCATCTATCCTAAGCTTCAGCTGCTACTTTTATGCCACAATACCCAAAGCTCTCCCTGTGCTTCAATTTTCTATTTTTTTTTTTTTACTCTGATCCATGGTTCCAACCAAATATGAGACATGTCCCTCTCCCTCAATGTCTTGCAAGAATCTCAAACTTCATTTATTGAAAGATAAATTCTTTATCTTCTTCCCTACTCCAACTTTTTCTTCTTCTTGAATTCTCCATCTTGGTTAACATTTTCCAATCTAGAAATCTCAGTCACTACTGACAACTCATTCTCTCCTATCTCCAATTACCAAGCTAACATAATGACCATCGACTATACTTCAGAAATGTCTAGCCAGCTCATCCCTTTCTGTTCTGTTCCACAGTTCAGAACCTTCTCAGCCTCGCCTAGATTATTACAATAGATCTCCATAAATCTGTCTATACAACTCCATTTATTTTATACTGCCATTTGAATATATCTTGATCAGAACATCTATATATTAAAAAAAGAAACACATTCCAAACCCATAGAGAATAAACTTAAAAAGGCACAATCGTATTTTAATGTAGCACCTCAGCTTCTTTTCCTGATATTCAATTTCATACATACCCAATATTCCAAACATAAGACACTTCTTTTATTACCTAGACTGTCCAACCCCGTGACATTGGACATGTTACCTCTTCTTGCTTACATGTGTCTCCTTCATTAAATGAATACTTAAAGAGCGGGAATTGCTCACATACCCACATTTGTTCCTCAGCTGGCAGTTGCTGGCACATAGCAGTAGAAGCTGAAAGATACATCTCAATAGATACTAAGCCAAGACACATTTTCTTTATCACATACTAATTTAATAATATATAATTAATTTTATTCTTTGTTTTTTCTTTTAGTTACTTCAGACAAGTTTTCAGATTCAAGGTATTTTTTATTTATTATTAAAACAATATAATAGGGGAGGGATGGGGACAAGGGTTGAAAGCTACCTATTGGGTATGATGTTTACACAATTGAGAATTGTTGGATGAGAGGATCATTAGAAGTCCAAACTTTAGCATCACACAATATACCCATGTAACAAGCCTGCACATGTACCGCCTGCATCTAAAAACACATCACCACATGAAACTAATACTGAAGAAATGCTAAAAATGGTACCTTGGCAAAGGTGTAAATTCACTAATTATGCCTTCTGCTCCAAGTGTGACTCCCTGGACAATAAATGTACTTCCCATTCCTTTCCACAGGGCTCTAGGTCCCTAAATTGAACAAAATTCATGTTATTTCTGTTAATACCTACATCTGAAACACAAAAGATCTTAATAAAACTTGATATTGTGTAGACATTTTCCAATAAAACATTATTCTAATAGAAATATTAGTAGAGAACTACAATTAATTTTATATCATTTTAAAGTTATACTTAGGCCAAGAAGAACATTCCTATTAATTAAAACCCCTAATGATTAACTAATTTATTAAATATCCCTAATATCTATATATTCAACTCCCTACTAGTCCTGTCCTGTGGATGACACAAGGTAACTTGAAACTTACATATCCACAACTTAACCCAATCATACTCACTCATACCACACCAATTCTTTCCTTCTCTGCTGTATTTCCTATTTCCCTAGATAGCAGCTTCATCATCCTAGTGTCCAAACAATATATCTAGAAAACATTTTTATCTCACTCTTCCTATCTAATCAGTCCCCAGGTTCTACAAATTCTACTCCCTTAGTATCTTACAAATCCATGCTCTTCTCCATACTTAACACTATTACTTTATATCAATTTGACTACAAGTTTCACTGTCTCTGGTTTTGCCCCTTTGCATGATACCATCAGTAATACTCCTATTATTTATCTATATTATCTATATTATTAATAGATATACATGATAGAATTAAAAAGAAGCAATAGGGTATCAGCTGAAAAGTCTGTCTCCTTTTCATCCCAGTCCTCAGCAGCAGTTTTAAAATTTATCGGGATAATCCATGCATATACAAGTATATCTGTGTGTGTATGTTATAGAAATATTTTTGTTTTGCTTATTTTTAACAGGTAGTATTATCTTGAAACATAAAAAATATCCTGGAGATCATTCCACATTAGTATACACAGAGCTACCCTCTTATTTTTAAAGGTTACAAGGTGTTTCACCATAATATACCATAATTATTTCACTGGTACCCTAGTGATGGACATTTAATCATTTCCAGTCTATTATATGCAATGTCATAGGACATCCTTGTATATATATTTTTGCATATATATGTGCACATCTATGTGGGATAAGTTCCTGGAAGTGAAAGAACATGTACATTTTAAATTTTAATAGATATTGCCAAACAATCCAAAGGTCTTCAAGATATTTTGGTCATGGCTAAAACACCTTCAACAGTACTCTTGTAGCTTTTAAGATCTAGTAGTGTGCAGTTCTTAGAAGGTGCTTTAGAATCTGGATCCTGCTTACTTCTCTGGCTACTTTTTCATCTTTCTCTTACTCTTCAACCCCCACTTCAAGCTCCCATTGTACTCCATTAAATCCATTCCCAAACATTATGATCTCTCTTTGTCTTCTGCCTTCACACGTCTACTTTAAAAACCTTTTCTCTATCCTCATCATGAAGAGTCAGACTTCTCAACAAGAAGCACACAATTCGGGCCTTTCTTTTCCCAAAGTTTTTCCCAGCCATACACTGTGCCCAAGCCCAGTTTTGATAAGGTACTTCTCTTTTGTATTCTGACAGCATTCTGTACTTCTAATATTGCCTTTATCTTACTGCAGCACAATCTTCAAAGATTTTGTCTCCATGAATAAATATGAGCCTCTTGATAGCAGAGACATCATCTTAGCACAGCTCTTTGTGGTTTTGCTAAATTAAATTGTACTTTTGCTAAATTACATTTTGAAAGATTCAAAAACATATCGTTGTGCTACTTTAGTTTTACTACAACAGTTAAGATGTTTTATTGACCAAACTGAAAGTAATTATTCTTGCTTTAATGATTACTAAACCCAAATGACACTTATATAAACCTTTAATAGAATCCAGACAAAATTCTCACCTGAGTTTTGTTGAAACTGTACATAATATTGATGACTGTAAATGGAGTGAGATGGTAATGCTGAGCATGGTAATTAACCTGTAAAAAAGATATTTCATTATTTTTTTCTGTTAATGTTTTGTCAAGAAATAACAGAGCCATGAAAGAAATATGGTGGAATTGCAGTATAAACAAAAGTTAATTCCAAAGTCAACATAAATTACACATAAGCAAAATTACTCTTAAAAGTGCTTTAAATAACCTATTAAAAGTACAGTATGTATGGTTATATAAATACAATCTGAAGACCAATGCATAATACACACAGTACTGTAGACTATATAATAAAGAGGGTCTTATTTGATATTTGGTTTGCCTTAAACAACTGAATTACATCTCCCAACTCATGTTCATTTTAGGCAAGCATTTTTCAAACTGTACTTGGCAACTGACTGGTATATGAAATCAACTGGGGGAGTGTCAAAACAATATTTATTATGTGAAACAATAAAATATTAGAATGTATTACATTCTAATGGTATTATTTCATAAAACATTTAAAAATAATATATTTGTTACTTATATGTAATGTATCCATTGGATCTCCATGTTAATATTACTACAATGTAAAATATATATCTGAAATACACTGTTCTGTGGCACATACAGTCAATGCTACTTTAATGGTATTTCTGTATACATACTTTTCAGTGCTAAGCATGAACAGATTAATTTATAATGATTTATACTGTTTTGAACTCTAACAGCTAACAAATACAGGAAGCATTACTTTACAGAGAAAGTGGGTTATAACAGGACGGGCGCAGTGGCTCACACCTGTAATCCCACCACTTTGGGAGGCTGAGGCGGGCGGATCATGAGGTCAGGAGATCGAGACCATCCTGGCTAACACGATGAAACCCCGTCTCTACTAAAAATACAAAAAATTAGCTGGGCACGGTGGCGGGCTCCTGTAGTCCCAGCTACTCGGGAGGCTGAGGCAGGAGAATGGCGTGAACCCAGGAGGCGGAGTTTGCAGTGAGCCGAGATCATGCCACTGCACTCCAGTTTGGGCAACAGAGCGAGACTCCGTCTCAAACAAACAAAAAAAAAAAGTGGGTTATAACAGAGTTTGCAAGTGGGGTCCACTGACTCCTGAGGGCCCCATTACCCTTTCAGGGGCTTGACAAGTTCAAAATTATTTTCCTAGTGATTACTAAGATATAATTTCCTTTTTTCACTGTCTTGACATTTTCACTAATGGTACAAAAGCAATGGTAGGTAAAACTCCCAGCTCATTAGCACAAATTGAGGCAGCACCATCAAACTGTATTTTCGTACTTACAGTAATTTTTCACCTCATTTACCCATAGAGAGAAAAAAGCAACCTTCATATAGTAATATCCTTGACAATGAAGTAACAAAATGTTAATTTTATGAATCCTTGACCTTTGAGTACACATCCTCTTTCTAATTAATATCCTGTGTGTTACATAAGGAAGTAAGATTGCTGTCATGAGGAAAGCACTTGTATGATAGAACTGCAAGCTAAACTAGCCACTTTTTTCACGGAACATCATTTTTACTTAGAAAAACTCATTGACGGACTATACCTATTCACTTTCAGGACAGACATATTTTAAAAAATAAACAAAGTGAGATTGTTGATTAAAACAAAAATAAATAACAGTATTTACTGTCAATGATAAGTTTGAATTTTCAACTAAAACTCAGAATTTTGGAAAATCTATATGCATCGTCAAGAGCTGACAATACTTATAGACTTTTCTAGTGAGATCAGTAGTATTTTTAATGAAGATGATTTTTTGATATTTTATAATCAAATGTTTTAACAACAGGAAGATCTATGTAACTCAATTGGTCAATATTTTTCAAATAACTTATGCACAATTACATGGAATCAGGCATAAGTAAAAATATCTATTCAAGATGCAGTATAGTTAAATGGATTTTTTAATGTAACAAAGTATAAAAAGTTCACTAAAATGATTTCTGATTTCACATTGCAAATAACCTTTAAGAAACTGCGACACAGTGAGTTTTGGTGCAATTGCAAAGAATACCCACAATTATCTCAAAAGAATATAATATACTCCTCTCCTGCTTTCAACTATACATGTGTACAAGACTAAACTTCCTTGCTTCTTTCAAAAACCACGTGATGCAACAGATTGACTGCAGAAGCATACGAGAGAAACTGGCTCTCTCCTATTATGTCAGATATTAAAGATATTTGCAAAAATGCAAAATAGTTACTTTCATAAAAACATATTATCTTACTAACAGGTGTTATTATTTTAATGAATTATATAGATGCATTGAAATTTTCCCAATTTTAATTTCTGAAATGGTAACTATCAATAGATATGACCAACATAAACCAAAGTTATTTAGGATCCTCAATATTTTTTTAAGACTTTAAAGAGGTTTTGAGACCAAAAAGTTTGGAACATTTCACATGAAGTAACAATTACCTGGTTTCATGTCATTTATGTGAGTTCTGCCCTTCATATTAGGGTCAGAAGTATTGCTTCAAAAGATCACAGAAATTACATTTACCTGACATTGGCGGCGTAGAACAATGCAAGGATGTGCCAATACATTTTCTGTAAAGAGACTATATAAAAATAATTTATGTATATGTATGTCTACATAGAGATAAATTAAATTTACAACAGGTATCTTTCTGAAATTATTCTTGCCTGAAGAATCATGCATTATTTTATGTTTTCCATTCTTAAACAAATTAAATAGATCTTTAAAAATGTCTAGAAATGTTTGCAAATGATTCTACCCATAACGAAATTCAATATGAAAAGAATGAAAACCAGATCTGCATACTAGTAAATAAGGGAAACAATACATAATACATAATATTAATGTCTATAGTATAAGATGAAACTAGATCTCTGAATGTTTAATGTGGGAAATGGCACATCAATTAAATGGCATTTAATGCTGCAAATTATTTCTTTCAGAAAATGTCCTAATAACAGAATTCCTATCAGCAGAGTCATTTGATCTTCATGAACCCCATTCTAAAAATGTTTGGTTTTGGTGCACTTAAATTATAAGGTTTAAGTATAAATTTAAGTATAAATCTTAAATTATAAGATTCTTAATGACCATGTTAATTGACTAATATTTATGTATCAAATATTTATTTTGAGAATGTGCCCCACAAAACAATTACAGCTGTGGGTTTCAGGTCTCAGAGTGACATATACATACATGTGCACACATATTTATATGTAATAATAGTCTATCAAATGAATCAAAGCTTTAAGTATAAATATTGAAGCAAAAAACAACTCCAGCAGAATGGAAAACACAGATTTTATTTATATTGACATTAACACCCTCGGGTTTAATTATGCAAATAAGGTGTTTTTCTTCGTTAAAATGTTTAAAATAATGATCATTATGGCATGAAATGTAAGCTTTGTGCAATTCCAATATTTTTGAAAATGGTATTCACTAAGGATCACAATAATCAAGACTAAAGGATTTTCTTAAAATGATCGTTAGATATAAAAAAAAGTAATGCTATCACCAAACGCTGATTATGAACAAAATCTAGATGCTATGTTGCTAAATATCTTGTAAGCATTAGAGTGTTTAGAAAGAAGCCTCCATGCACAATTACTTTTTTGATGGGAGACAGACAGATTACATTTCATTTTATTCTTTGGATAGACCCATGAAAAGAATGAAAACCAGATCTGCAAACAGGTAAGTAAGGGAAACAATATATAATACACAATATTAATATCTACGGTATAAAATGAAACTAGATCACTGTATGTTTGATGTGGGAAATGACACGTCAGTTACATGGCATCATTAAATGCCATGTAATTTTTCTTTCAGAAAATGTCCTATGAAAAAAGTTCTTATCAGCAGAGCCATTTGATCTTCATGAACCCCATTCTAAATTATTATTTTGATGGGAGAGAGATAAGATTACACTTCATTTTATTTTTTGGATAGACCCATGAAAACAGTTACAATACTCATTACAAAATTACTTTGTGTTTATAAAATTGGATGACTAGTCTATCCTTACTGGAAAAACTATCAAATTATATATTTTAAATAATGGTCATTTTTTTTCTGCAAAATATTATTCAAAATTTAAGCTGCTGCTTCAAAGAAACAACCTAAAGGAAGCAATAATAATCATTTAATATTGTAAATTAAAGAAAAACTCTAAATTCAATAAATAAAAGCTGTAAACGTCTTTAGATAAAACATTACCTTGCAAGTCCAATACCAAATCCAGCAAATCTATTCAGCTGTTCTAAAGTAAAAAAAAATAGAAATAAAAAAATAAGATTACTGATAACCAATTACTGACAATTTAGGTTTAGTCTCAAAACAATTTTAAAAAATTTATTTTATTAACCTGCTGTTCATTTAAACCTCAAAGTCAAATTCTGATAGGGGCCAGGTAAATAATTTAAATGAATGAAGGACTCTGCTGGGGTCTGTGGCAAATTGCAAGGTGTAGAGTGTTTAAAGCACAATTACGCTTTCACTCCAATTCATTGTTGCCACATTAGAGTGTGGGCCCAGGGTTTTGAAGTTGTAATTTTTTCAAAAAAAGATATTCTCATTTTATATAAAAGCTTCCAATTTTAAAGTCCTGGACAACTATTTCAAAAACTGTTAACACATTGTCTTGGCCTAATGAAACAAATATCCGGACAGAACCTAAGGGCTACCAGTTTTCAGCTTCTGATTCCAATCAAATAAAAAATTTTCCATGGTTGGCCGCAGCTGATATTCCACCTGCGACTTTACCTCTTATGCTGTAAAACTAGTTATTCACTGTTACTGACGGAGAGCACTTTATTAAACCAATAACTACAAGTAAAGCACCTCTAAATTATTAACTTGAAAGGGTACTTAGGGATAACCAAAATGGGTAAATACAGCTCTCCCCCATCTCTTCAAGTTTTAAATAGTTTGAGGCTAGCTGTTTAATTAATTGGAGTAGGTTACTGGATACCTAAATGCTACTACAGATGGTATGTCTGTTATGTTACTGGAAAAGTTCACAGCTGGGAACATTCCTATGCATATGTCAAAAGAGAAAAGCCTTTCTTCTTGACTAAACTCAAAGTCATAGTGGTGAACTATTACAACCCCAGGGGACCAGACATCAAATTCTAACTATAATACAATATTCACAAGTTACAATTCTTTCTCTCCTCTTCTCTTTCAAGTGAAGCAACTGCCCTCACTATTCCCTTTCAATCAGAACAAGGCCACCTAAGCATGTTCCTGGGAAATTACGCAGTTTACCCTAGAAAAATGTATAAGCTAAATAGAAAGCTTCTTTTACCCACCTACGGTACTTTTACCTTAGATTTTACCTTTTTTTGTTTGTTTTGAGACGGAGTCTCGCTCTGTCGCCCAGGCTGGAGTGCAGTGACGCGATCTCGGCTCACTGCAAGCTCCGCCTCCCGGGTTCACGCCATTCTCCTGCCTCAGCCTCCCGAGTAGCTGGGACTACAGGCATCCGCCACCACGCCCGGCTAATTTTTTCTATTTTTTAGTGGAGACGGGGTTTCATCGTGTTAGCCAGGATGGTCTCGATCTCCTGACCTCGTGATCCGCCCGCCTTGGCCTCCCAAAGTGCTAGGATTACAGGCGTGAGCCACCACGCCCGGCCTTACCCATTTTGTATGTATAGATCATCCCCAAATAGCAACAGAAAATGCTACTAGCATTTTCTGGAAGGTGTTAGGAAGGTTTAATCTTGTTTACTGTGTAAGTCTCTTAGGTGTCTATCTTTGTTGCAAAATTAACATTCACCCACCTGTTAAGGCTGCAAAATAAACCCCTGCTTGTGTCAAGGAACTCCTCCTCATTGTAACCACCAAAGCATAACTTTAAACCGGGAAGAGTCAAAAAGCTAATTGTATGACAATTAGCTAGGTAAGTCATCTATCTTTCTTCACATCCTCATTTACTCACTAGACATTCGTTAGTCTGTTCTTCTTAGTTAAATATTATTGTACTTCCAAGTCAAAGTCGAGGAAATAAGAATAAAGCTGATTTCTACAATAAATTTAATATTAATACCATTAATCTATTATTCTAACAATTCCAGAAGAATAGAAAGAGGTAGCCATTATTCACATTTTATGAATAAAAAAGGATGTTGAAAATATCTACATCATGCAGTGTTGCAGCTTTTCTGACATCCCATGGAGAATAATTATGTCATGATTCCGAAGTCCTATCTTGAAATTGTATCAGTGTTTCTAACTTTTATATGTAGTTTTTAGGTCAGCAGAAGGAAAGCAGAAAGGAAAATTATAGGAAGGAAACTTTCTAGACTGGGGATCTGAAAAGCAGACAAAACTCCTGTGTTCAAAAAGGAAAAGGAAGGAAACTTTTTTTTTTTAGCCTATGTGTCCCATACAGGATTCTTCTACACATCTTAAAGATGAGAAAACTGAGGGCTCACAGAGGTTAAGTTGTTCAGATTACGAGTGGCACAACCAAGTTTGAACCCAAGTATGCTTATGCTGAAAGGCTTCTCTTTTCAGAACACAAAACTACAAGTAAACACATTAATTAATTAATTAAATCAAGAAAATAGAGCTGCCAAAGTGAATCAGGGAACAGTTAATAATCCAATCTCCTTTTTAACTCAGACCATCAGTTGAGACACCAAAACCTCTAAAAATTCCTGCTATGCACCCCATAGCTAAGGCAGATGTCTTTTTTGGAGTTGATCCAGGAGAATTCGTTTGTGAGGAAGAGGAGGCCAGCCTCAGGGGCAGAGGACCAAAGGAGGGCAAAGGGTGTGGCGCGCGATAGGATGAGAAGGAATAGGAGGCGGGATCCTCTGCGCCGCTTCCGGGGTCTGCAGGCCGCAAGCCGCGGCCCCAGTAACCCCTCATCCCTGTGTCGGTCCCCATGCTTCTCACCACTGCTCTGCCCCTGCACACTGCCGCCGCCGCCACTGGAAAAGGGTTCCTCCGTGGGGCCTTCGTACGGGGTGGAGGTGGTGGGCACGCCGTAGGGCGGGCTCTTCTCGCCCCAGTGCAGGTTGCGGCTGCCGGGGATATCTGGGGGAGTCGTCACCCAGTGGCCCAGGTCCGACCCGGTGCTGAAGGACCTTGCAGGGAAGGCGCCGCCAAAGCCCTGCTCGTCCCGGGCACCACCCCGGTAGCCCAAGCCATCAAATCCGTCCGGGCGCCGCGGATGCATCGCAGCGGGGGCAGGATGACGCGAGCCCGCCCGGAGCCCACCACCACCGGGGCCACCACGACCTAAGCACACACAGCTTCCCGTCGGCCGCCGCCGCGTCAGGGGTAAATTCTGACAACCGGAAGTCACGTTGGAAACCCGGAAGTCTTCGGAGCACGTGATTATAGCCTCTTCCGGCAACCATTAAAGGGCACGGTTGCTAGGGAGACGCGGCGGTAACCTGGACCTTAAAAGTTTGTTGTCGTTAGGGAATAGGTGGGAATATGGTTGTGGGATTAATGAAACACAGTACCAAAGAGATTCCAGAAAGAGAACTGGTGTAGGAATAGGGCCTGCATGGGAGGAGTTCAAAGATGCTTCTTGGAGGGAGCCGATAACCCGCGGGTGGAGCCTACCCGGTGAGATCCCGGCCAGAAATACCCCATGTCACAGCTACGCCCCAGATCTCAGTGTTTTCTCACGGGCCTGGTGCCTCGCCTGCTCCGAGGAAGCTAGTAGAGGTTGGAGTTGTGGAGGGTTAATAACGTTCCACCTAGCTTTGTCTCCCGCACTTGGGGTTTTGGATCAAATCTATTGAGAGATATGGTACCGCCCAGTGAACGCGAAAGTACTGTGGACCACCAGAGCAAGCATTTTAAAAGTTGAAGTGCACGTCGGGGGTGAAAGAAACCCACGTACTCGAATACTGTCCTCCTGGAGTTAGAAATTACGCGTTTTCCTTTTCTAAGGCTGTAAAGAAACTATAGTTTTCTGTCGTATTTTTTTCTGATGTGTCTAAATCACTCAGGGTATTGAAATCCCAGTTATATCGTTCAAAATTGGGACCTCTAATTGAATAACTGAGAGGACTACTGTAGAGCGTCCCCTACTACCTGTTTTCATTAGCTCCACGGGCTCTTGGGCCAGGCTCCCTCCCCAGATCTGAGGAAGACTTCCATGGTTTCATCCTATGTTCCTTCAACTCGTTGGAAGCCCAGGATTCCTAGAGCTTTTCCAAGAGAACTCTGACGTGCAGTTCTCGATCTTCCAGATGCGAACCTTGATTGAGAGTGATAATCAACTTTGTTTTGATTGAACTGACATTTTTTTCTGTGGTTTTATCACTTTTTATTTTTTATGGGTGTATAGTAGGTGTATATATTTATGGGTTACATGAGATATTTTGATAGCGTACATTAAAATGTATAATTAACATTTTTAAATAACGAATTGACATTCTTAAATTTGATTGCGATGCAGCTTGGGCAAAGGTGTTGAGTCTCTTGACTGTATAAAATTTAAATGTCCATATAGTAAATTTTAAAATATATAGTAATCACAATTGAAAGGCAAATCACAAACAGAAAAATGACATTTTAACATGGTTTAAACAATGGAACAGTAGCTTTAATGTACAAAGAGTTCATACCAATGAATAAAGGCAAATCAGAAATATGAGCAAAGGACATGTAGAGGCAATTCATACAAAAAAAGGAAGTGTAAATAGATAATATCATATAAAAAGTCCTTTACTAATTGAAAAAAGGTAAATCTTAATTATCTTTCACGTATTAAGGTGTTTAAAAGGGAAAATGCACATTGTCTTTCCAGGTGAGAAGAAAGTAGCTTTCATTAATTTCTGAAGTGATATAAAACATAACTTTCTGATGGAGAGCAGTTTGGCACTATGTATCAAAAACTGTAAAAATAACCATATTTTTTGACTCCAAAATCTTAGAAAACAAATATAGGGGTTTTTTACATGTTTCTGGCATGGATAACATACATATGTTTATGGCATGCTTGCTCATAATAGGAAAAAAATAAGCAGGAATGCAAATATCAAATAATTATTATTGATTAATAATTTATTATTTAAAGTGTATATCCATACAGTTGTTTAACAAAAATATATTTATTAAGCACCTATCTCGTGTCAGATACTATTTTAAGCAATAAGGATAGAATGATAAATAAGCCAGACAAGGTGCTTGCATTGTTAGAACTGACATTCTAGTTTAGGGAGACAAAGAACAGATAAATATATCCTGTCAAATATAGTGCAATGTCAAATAATGACATGATTGTATTAAAAAAGCCTAAGTGAGCAATAAAGGAAGCTTTTTTTTTTTTTTTTTAGAATAAGGAAGTCCTCTCTGAAGAAGTGACCTTTGAGCAGAGAACTGAATGAAGTGAGGGAGTGAGCCATTTGTGAATATGTGGGAGAAGTTTTCCAGGCAGAGCTGAGCAAGAGAAACGCCCCGATAGCAAACTAGGTAGCCAGTGAGAAAGGGTGAAAGTGATAGGAAATGAGAGCTGAAAGGAGGCTAGGTGCCAGATCTTGCAAAGCCTTGTCGGTGGTGAACAAAATTTAGGTTTTTTGAGAGTAGAGGAGTAATGTGACTGTATTGATGTTTTATAGGAATCCACCTGGCTCTGTATGGGGAAGAGTAAAGGCTTCCACCTACTAAAGGCAAGCAGCTGAGGCAAAAAATAGTAATAATTTCATCTCGAGTGATAGTGTAATGGAGATGAGAAGGGTTTAGAGTGAAGATGTTTATAGATTACATTAGAGATGAGTATTAAATGACATGAAAATATTCATGTTCAATTTAAAACATGTACAGTATGAACTTACCTTTTAAAAATTCTACTAAAGATACACAATAGAAGAATGTGCTAAAATGATAGTATTATGTCTGAGCACGGGCTTGCATAGTTTCACTTTTTATTTAATTGCTCTAAAAACTTAGCTTTTTTTTGTAAGAAGAAAAATTATTTTAGAAAAAAATTAGAGCAAATTTGGTTATGGGCAGACACAGCAATAAAGATCTTTCTAGATTACTAAATCTGTTCATATCATTTAATCAGTAGTCTCTAGAGCACTATGAAAGCTCTATCATCCTGTATTTCTCCAAAATATTTCTAAAATAATTATGCTGAAATCGTCCAGAGTTTATTGCTTCAAACTAGTTTGAGAAACTCATAACACAGGAATTAAAACATGAATTTATAAAGTGGCCAATGCATTTTATGAAAACAACAGAATGTTTGTATTAGTTTCTATTGTGGCACAATGAATTACCCCCATAACAAATTGGGCAGCTTAAAACAACATTTAATATCTCATAGTTTCTGTAATTTAAAAATTTCAGAGTGGCTTCGCTGGATAGTTCTGCCTTAGGTTTCCCATGAGGTTCTAGTTAAGACTTCTACTTGGAATGCAGTCATTTTAGACATGACTGAGTTTGATTAGGGCTGGAGGATCCCCTTCTAAGATCTCTTACTCAGACAGCTATAGAAAGAATGTCTTTATTTCTTGCTGATTGCTGTTAATGAGGTTTCAATTCCTTGCCACATGAAGTTCATAGAACATCTTGAATGTCCTTATGACTTAACAGCTGGGAGACAGACAGCAAGGGGGAAACACAATGTCGTTTATGACCTAATTACACCTCATCACTTCTGCCATGTTCTATTTTTTTGGAAGAGAGTCACTAAGTCCAACCCTGCACTTAAAGGGGAAGAGGATTTGACTCTATCTTTTAAAGGGAGGATTATCAAACAATAGCATTTATATCATTAAAATGACTAAAATATTAAATCACTATATAACAATTAATGGGTGGAGGATATTATTAGGCACCAAAACTAATAATAAGGAAATTTTTAGCCCAAATATTAACAGAATAATATAGTTTTTTACTTTGTTCCTTAGTAAATAAAGGATTAATTTTCCTTGAAAATAATATGATAGAAATAGTATAACCACCCCCCAACGGGCTTAATACATATTTTCGAAAGTCCAGTCATTATTATTGTTGAGTTGAAATACAAATGAAAAGTTGCAGATTGTTTCAACAGTTTTCAAGAGTTGGCACAGAATGCTATGGTCCTACCAAACAAAAGTGCCTGTGCAGAGCAAGCAAGTCATTCATTTATGTTAACATTTTGCTCAAAAATTCTGATGCTAAATAAATTCAGCTCACAGGATAAAATAAAAATCACCTATATTTTTTATTCAAGAATTCACTCAGCAACATATATTAAGCACCTACTATGTGTAAACCACTGTATTGGGTACTGTGATGCAACTATACACTATTTTATTTATATCTTTTTTAGAGACAGGGCATCACTGTGTTGCCAAGGCTGGTCTTGAACTGGCTCAAGCAATCTGCCCACCTCGGTCTCCCAAAGTGCTGGGATTACAGGAGTGAGCCACTGCGCCCTGCCTGGTAAGTATTTTAAAAGGTGAAATTTAGTAATATTTTAAATATTTTACATGTAAAATAACTTGAAATAAGCAATTTTAAAAATATCTTTCAAACAATAGAGGTGTTTTTGTTTTCTTTTGTTTTTGTAAAATGATGTGATATAACAATCCACTATGGTGCATTTGATCCTGATTACATTGTTAGGGAAGTTAGGCAAAGCATATTTAACATCTACACACTTAATGGGACACACACAGTAAATGGAAGCAACCAAGAATATTTTAAATTGTGAATTGGGTATAAATTTTCTTAATTGCCGAGTTTATTCTTTTTCTACTTGATAGGCTATAGCATTTATGTTCAGAAGATGGTGATTCCCGAATTATTGGACTTAATTTTTCATCCCTCTACCATAGTATTATACTGTATGTCCATACCCTTGTCATAGCCTCATGATGGGCAGAGTGGACTTTCCTGCCCTTTGGGTAGTTGGTAGAGTGATATCCTTGGGCAGAAAGGTGTTAGTTAGCAGGTGTGACCCAAACAGAGGCTTTGCTCAGTTGGCTTGCCCGCTTGGGCTTCTGCCATAACCATGAGAAGCACCTCCTGAATAACCACTACCCCTTCACTCTGGGCTCCAGAAGGAGATATTTGGAGCAGACCTGAACCCAGCTGGAATTCTGGGGACAATCCCAGGTGAACCCAGCCAACATCACCAAAATCTAGCCAACCTGCACGCAGAGGAGTGAATGAGAAAAATAAATACTTGTATTTTAAACCACTAAGATTATTTTGGTGATAGGTGACTAACATGATGCTTATGCAGAATTTTAATTGAATTTTATTTTTAAAGTGTCCACTGTAGGATTAAATACTATCATCACAAACATGTCAACTAACTGTGTAAGAGAAATTTTATCTTTTAGTAAGTTTAAAAATGCTGTGAAAATTAACCCATTGGTACAAGAAATAATCTGAGTAAATGCAATATAAATTTCTTAAAATCTTGCTTTATCTTCTTTAACCTCTACTGGATTTTTATAAGTTGAATGACCATTTTAATATCATTTGACTTTTTAAAAAAGTTTATTTTAGGTTCAAGGGTACATGTGCAGGTTTATTATGTAGCTAAATTTATGTCACAGGGGTTTGTTGTACAGGTTATTTCATCACCCAGGTACTAAGCCTAGCACCCAATAGGTTTTTTTTCTGATCCTCTCTCTCCTCCCACCCTTCACCCTCAAGTAGGCCCCAGTGTCTGTTGGTCCCCTCTTTGTGTCTCTGTGTTCTCATCATTTAGCTTCCACTTATAAGTGAGAACATGCGGTATTTTGTTTTCTGTTCCTGCGTTAGTTTGCTAAGGATAATGGCCTCCAGCTCCATCCATGTTCCTGCAAAGGACATGATCTTGTTCTTTTTTATGGCTGCATAGTATTCCATGGTGTACATGTACCATATTTATGGGCAGTGATGGGCATTTAGGTTGATTCCGTGTCTTTGCTATTGTGAATAGTGGTGCAATGAACATACCTGTGCATGTGTCTTTATTGTAGAATGATTTATATTCCTTTGGTTATATACCTAGTAATGGGATTTCTGGGTCAAGTGGTAGTTCTGATTTTGGCTCTTTGAGGAACCAACGCACTGCTGTCCACAGTGGTTGAACTAATTTACACTCCCACCCAACGGTATGTAAGAGTTTGTTCCCTTTTCACTGCAAACCTCACCAGCATCTGTTGTTATTATTATTATTATTTTTTACTTTTTAATAATAGCCATTCTGACTGGCATGAGATGGGAACTCATTGTGCTTTTGATTTGCATTTCGCTGATGATCAGTGATGTTGAGCTTTTTTTCATATACATGTTGGCCACATGTATGTCTTCTTTTGAAAAGTTTCTGTTCATGTCCTTTGCCTATTATTTAGTGAAATTGTTTGTTGTTTTCATATATATTTGTTTAAGTTCCTTGTAGATACTGGATATTAGACTTTTGTCAGGTACACAGTTTGCAAATATTTTCTCTCATTCTGTATGTTGTCTGTTTTCTCTGCTATTATTTTACATTTGATTAGCTTTCCTTTCTCTTTTTGACAAATAAAAATTTCAGATACTGTTCCATTTATTCCCAGTAGCATTTAAAAATCCTAATGAGAACTCTAAATATTTGGCAACATGAAGAGAGGTATCTGATATGGTTCGTTGTGTCCCCACCCAAATCTCAACTTGAATTGTATCTCCCAGAATTCACACATGTTGTGGGAGGGACCCAGGGGGAGGTAATTGAATCATGGGAGCTGGTCGTTCCCATGCTATTCTCTTGATAGTGAATAAGTCTCACAAAATCTGATGGGCTTATCAGGGGTTTCCGCTTTTTCTTATTCCTCATTTTTCTCTTGCCACTGTCATGTAAGAAGTGCCTTTCACCTCCTGCCATGATTCTGAGGCCTCTGCAGCCATGTGGAACTGTAAGTCCAATTAAACCTCTTTTTGTTCCCAGTTTTGGGTATGTCTTTATCAGCAGCATGAAAATGCGCTAATACAGTGAGTTGGTACCAATAGAGTAGGACGTTGCTGAAAAGATAACCAAAAATGTGGAAGCGACTTTGGAACTGGGTAATAGGCAGAAGTTGGAATAGTTTGGAGGGCTCAGAAGAAGACAGGAAAATATGGGAAAGTTTGGAACCTCTTAGAGACTTGTCAGTGGCTTTGACAAAATGCTGATAATGATATGAATAATAAGGTCCAGGCTGAGGTGGTCTCAGATGAATATGAGGAACTTCTTCGGAATTGGGACAAAGGTGACTCTTGTTATATTTCAGCAAAGAGACTAGTGGCATTTTGCCTTTGCCCTAGAGATTTGTGGAACTTTGAACTTGAGAGAGATGATTTACAGTATCTAGTGGAAGAAATTTCTAAGCAGCGAGGCATTCAAAAGGTGACTTGGGTGCTGTTAAAAGCATTCAATTTTAAAAGGGAAACAGAGCATAAAAGTTCAGAAAATTTGCAGCCTGATGATGCAGTAGAAAAGAAAAACCTATTTTTTGAGGAGAAATTCAAGCTGGCCACAGAAATTTGCATAGGAAGCAAGGAGCCTAATGTTAATCCCCAAGACCATGGGGAAAATGTCTCCAGGCCATGTTGGAGACTTTCATGGCATCCTTCCATCACAGGCCTAGAGGCCCAGGAGGAAAAAGTGGTTTTGTGGGCTGGCCCCAGAGTCCCCATGCTGTGTGCAGCCTAGGGACTTGGTGTCCTGTGTCCCAGCTGCTCCGGCCATGGCTGAAAGGGGCCAGTGTAGAGCTTGGGCTGTGGCTTCAGAGGGTGGAAACCCTAAGCCTTAGCAGCTTCCATGTGGTGTTGAGCCTGCAGGTGCACAGAAGTCAAGAATTGAGGTTTGGCAACCTCTGCCTAGATTTCCGAAGATGTATGGAAACACCTGGGTGCCCAGGCAAAAGTCTGCTGCAGGGGTGGGGCCCTCATGGAGAACCCCTGCTAGGGCAGTGTGGAAGGGAAAGGTGGGGCAAGAGCCCCCACACAGAGTCCCTACTGGGGTACTGACTATTGGAGCTATGAGAAGAGGGCCACCATCCTCCAGACCCCAGAATGTTAGGTCCACCAACAGCTTGCACTGTGCACCTGGAGAAGCTGCAGACATTCAATGCTAGCCCATGAAAGCAGCCAGGAGGGAGGCTATAACCTGCACAGCCACAGGGGTGGAGCTGCCGAAGACCATGACCTGGAGGTGAGACCTGGCATCAAAGGAGATCATTTTGGAGCTTTAAAATTTGACTGCCCCAGTGGATTTCAGACTTGCATGGGCCCTGTAACCCCTTTGTTTTGGCCAATTTCTTCCATTTGGAATGGCTGTATTTACCCAATACCTGAACCCCCTTTGTATCTAGGAAGTAACTAGCTTGCTTTTGATTTTACAGGCTCATAGGCATAAGGGACTTGGCTTGTTGCAGATGAGACTTTGGACTGTGGACATTTCGGTTAATGCTGAAATGAGTTAAGACTTTAGGGTACTGTTGGGAAGGCGTGATTGGTTTTTAAATGTGAGGACATGAGATTTGGAGGGGCCAGGGGCAGAATGATCTGGTTTGGCTGTGTCTCCACCCAAATCTTAACTTGAATTATATCTCCCAGAATTCCCGTGTATTGTAGGAGGGACCTGGGGGAGGTAATTGAATCATGGGGGCCAGTCTTTCCTGTGCTATTCTCGTGATGGTGAATAAGTCTCACAAGATCTAATGGGTTTATCAGGGGTTTCTGCTTTTACTTCCTCCTCATTTTTATCTTGCTTTCACCATGTAAGAAGTGCCTTTCACCTCCCGCCATGATTCTGAGGCCTCCCTAGCCATGTGGAACTGTAAGTCCAATTAAACCTCATTTTGTTCCCAGTTTTGGGTATGTACTTATCAGCAGCATGAAAACAAACTAATACAGTATCAAATAGAAATTATTTACAATTAAGTTATACACTCCATGGCAAAACTAAACTGATATCACATAATATCAAAAATAGTTAAGAAATTGTCATCTAGAAAGTTGTTAAATTACAAAATCAATATTAATTCTAATGCAACAGTTCAAACTGATAAATATTTTTTCATGGCTATAGTTTTTTCCTATGATTCACTTTTGGTGTCAGATTGTTTTCCCTGGAAAATCAATTCTAATCTAGGAAGGTAATTGCAGTATTATGGACTAATTTGAATCGTGTCAGTGAAGATGCTAATAGCCTTGATTCCAAGCAACTGGAGGACTGAAGCTTAAGGTTTGAGAAATATGATTGAAGAAAATATAATGCATATTTTAAATTGTGTAACTTACTAATAGTTTCATCTCTTTCCTGACTTTTTAATGAGTACTCACTAGGTAGATTTCTCTAGGTAAAATTTTGATAAGTGCTATATAAGAGCACTCAGAATGCTAAGGAAACATTGAAGGATGTCTTCTAAGTTATCCTGAGAGAACAGTCATTGCGTTGGAAGGCTTCTAAAATGAGGTGTCTTCCCAGGTGAATGTGTCACTTTGGTTGAAGATAACAGAAACTCAATTTGTTACTTTAAACAGAAGATTTGACAGGATAATCAGGGTTTATAGAATTGATGGAAGGCTGTAAGTCAAGGATTGAAATGGACAGGAAAAAAAAATGCTGTTCTAGAGGACCAAGAAGCAGGAGGTACCACAACTGTCTTTTGGCAGGAAAATCTGTAAGGGTGCTGCTATCATGGCCCAAGGCACAGTTATTGCTACTTTCATCTTGATATTATCTGCTAAAAATTCAAATTCTTAAACTAGAACACATACTTGGCCAAACTTCTGTCATATTCCAACACAGAGTTCTGAGAAAATATAATCTGCCGTTTTTGGCTTTTGTAGTGGATGATGAAACACCACTTCCCATTCATATTACATGAAGAATTCCCCAGGTAGCATGGAAGGGTGATTGGATTCTCCAGATCCAAAATGTTGACAAATGTCTAACATCCGAGTCTTGATCAAGAGTAAGCATTTACCTGGTGTGTGGTTATTAGGGAGCAGGGGGTGGTATGCGTTTGTGTGAGTTTGTGGCAGCAGTTGAGGAGTGAGTGGGCAAGTATATTTTCAGACAGAGGAAGAGCATGCATGAGGTTATTAAGAAACGAGAGCTCATGATATGTTTAGGAAACTTAAAATATTTTTTAATTGATTACATAGCAGTGGAAAAAGTTTTAAAAATAAAGAAGACTGGGCCAGGCACGGTGGCTCACGCCTTTAATCCCAGCACTTTGGGATGCCAAGGTGGGTGGATTACCTGAGGTCAGGAGTTCGAGATCAGCCTGGCCAACATGGTGAAACCCTGTCTCTACCAAAAATACAAAAATTACCCAGGCGTGGTGGCAGGCGCCTGTAATCCCAGGTACTCGGGAGGCTGAGGCAGGAGAATCGCTTGAACCCAGGAGGTGGAGGTTGCAATGAGCTGAGATCGCTCCATTGCACTCCAGCCTGGGGGACAAAAGCGAGACTTCATCTCAAAAAATAATAATAAAATAAAATAAAAAAGACTGGTAAAAAAAAAAAAAGCAGAAAAAAACTGGGCAAGTAGGCAATGATATAGTTTCTGAAAGCATAATTGTGCCATACTAAGGGGTTAGGATGGTTTTGACATGCTTATTTTCCTAATTGCTAATTAATGGCCATTTTAGGATTATATATATATAGGTATATATATAATAATTTGAAAAAATTAGATTTGTCTTGTCAAAACTTCAATGTAGATGACTAATTAAAGGGAGAAAGGGGAGGTATGACTTTATTAGATTTATTTTTCTTACATAAATTTTCTAAATATTCTTGTCATTTTTTAAAATCATTGTGGGTCTCCTATTAGCTTAATATTATTGTGACTCTAAGGTTATACCAATATTATCTTAAAATTATTTAAAATTATTTCCTGTTTTAAGCTTCATTCCTCTGAGATTTATTGTTGCTATGGTATGAGATAGTAGTTCAGATTTATTTTCTTTCAAATTGTGCTCAGCCTCTGTACAGTTTTTCCCCACTGAGTTAAAATGGCAAATTTATCATATATAAATTTTATGCTTTTTCTGTAATCTTTCATTCTACTGATATATATATAAATAAAATCAGTAGATACATATATAAAATCAGTAGATATATTTAGAATAAGTAGATATGTGTAATATATATATATATGTATTTGTGAATTCTTCCTTATATAAACTTGTTCTGTTGTCTTCACTGTAGAATCGATGGGGTGACTTTTTTTCTCTAAACATGCTATAGTTTCAACTGATTCTTATATTATGGAGAAGAATTTTTTATTCGGCCTTCCTTTTATTCCTTTTTAATTCAATCTTCATTTGATTATGAATAACCTGGTTAACAGTTTGTATTTTTTTATGCTTTTAACACTTTTCTAGATCTCTTGAAATTAAAACAAGCAAGCCCCCAGGCTATTATTAAATACCACAGTCTTTTCATTTTTATTTTATCTGGATTATGGTAAGCACTGTTGATATTCTAGGATTTGTTCTCTCACATATGTAGTTTATAGTCTTTGTCAATTTCACTTTTCATTATTACCTTTAACTTACTGATCTTCTAGGAGTGATACGTCAGAGAAGCCTGAGATCACATATTGTAATTTCTGTTTTAAACATAAAAATGCACTCAAAAAACAAAAAAACTTAATTCCGAATCGAAGTAGTTCAAGTTAAATTTTCTTTCAAAGTTCTAATTTTTAAAGGCAGGTCATTTCACAGGACAATCCCTGTATATTACGTTTTAGTATTTTTTTTTTCTTTAGATGGAATCTCGCTCTGTTTCCCAGGCTGGGGTGCAGTGGCATGATCTCGGCTCACTGCAACCTCCATCTCCTGGGTTCAAGCAATTCTCCTGCCTCAGCCTCCTGAGTAGCTGGGATTATAGGTGGGTGCCACCACGCCTGGCTAACTTTTGTATTTTTAGTAGAGACGGGTTTCACCATGTTAGCCAGGATGGTCTCGAACTCCTGACCTCGTGATCCGCCCACCTTGGCCTCCCAAAGTGCTGGGATAACAGGCATGAGCCACTGCGCCCGGCCTACGTATGAATTTAATCATAAATGCCCTTCCCCATTCTTCCATATAGTATTTTACACTGGTGAACCTTTGTAAAATATATACAGTTGCTCGTTAGTAGACATAGGAATTCTACAAGGATTTTTAAAGGACTTATATTAGATAATTCTATTGCATACTACCTTTAAAAAGAGGCGTTCTTTTGTGTTTAAATTCGCCCTCTGGTGTTTAGTACATAGCAGAACATTCTAGGTGCTTTGTTTACTCACTGACGGGTGCTGAGGACACTGACTGCTCCAAATTTTCTATGTAAAAGGAACTTACGAACGGCAATTTAATTTAAAGACATAGCTACTTTTGGTATGATAGGCGTGCTGGTTTGTTTTGGGGAAGCAGCATTAAGACACTGAGGAGACATTAAAGCACTGTGAAGCCGCTTCTTGCCGTGGCTTCTTGCAGGATATGCAAGTATGTACAATATTCGAAACAAATCATTACTATGTTCTTTAAAAACGAATAAAGGTCTTTCACACAACATTGCATTTATTCTTTAGAAATTGAACACAAATGTGGTGGAGACGGGACAGGGCAGGTGGAAATTCACTTATAAGTCCTGATTGGCTAAGCCCTGGTCACGAGACCGTAAAAGAGCAACGTCTGTCTCAGAGCGACTCCCACAGCGTCCTTAGCAACCAGCCTTGGTTCCCAGCGGCTCAGAGCGCAGCGGTGAGTGATTAAGAGGTCCTGCTTCAGATGATTTGGGAGCTCAGGTTATTGTCATATTCACCATCCTAGGGCAACTGAAAGACCCACAAAGATCCTCACAGGGGAATACTGAGCCTCCTTTCTCAGGGTGCCATAGCTTTGTTAGAAGAAACACTACTCGCAACCCCAGGCTGGGCCTGCTATCTGGGCCCCTCCTAAGAGTCTAAGCAGTCCATCCTGGAAAAGCCACCAGGTCGTTTGATAGGGGAAGCTTTTTTGTTGGGGAGAATAAAGGAGGTGGGAACTTTCTTATTGCTATGAATAGGGAAATTCATTTAATCTCCCCTGGACTCGCTTATCCTGGGGCAACCTTGAATTCAGAAGACCAGTCTTCACACATCCTCTGTGGTTGGTGAAATTGCACCTTTTTGATTTTTATTTATTTATTATTTATTTAGTATGAAGACTCTTGGACTTCAAAAGAGAAGGTTCAAAAATTTGGCGCTCTGTGTGTGTGTGTGTGTGTGTGTGTGTGTGTGAAAGAGAGAGGGGGGTATATTGGAGATGTGTAATAAAACAATTTTTAAAAGCCGTTAATCTTGAGAAAAATATCCAAGTTGTCTATTAGAAAAATTTCTAGGAGGGGATAAGACTGTAGTAAGAGTCTCTTATTTACCTTACCATCTTAACAGTATGTCTGAACAAATTCTATCATTTGGTTGGTCAAATAATTTGCTTCCTCAGGTTAGAGTCTAAATCTTATATTCTCTAATGCATGTTACCTTTCCAAAGTCTTGATATAATTTTAATATTATCTGTTTTTCAGAAATTGTCTTTTAAAGTATACAGTTTCAACCTCATTTTTATTGGAACTTTAAAAAAATACATGAAGAATTAATAGTAAAACTAAAAAAAGAAATCTGGGTCTGTGCCAGGTTGCAGATGAACTGCCAAGCACCCAGGCAGACTGCTGGAGCCATTTCATGAGCTGAAACATTTCTCTTTAAAGTATAAACATTCTTGGTTTGGGTAATCCACATACATACTTGATTGAAGGTAGCAGATTTTTATTTCACTAAGACCTATTCTGCATGGACCCTTATGATCTTAATGAGTAGTGCTATATTCTTGCTGAACGTCTGATTCATTATCAGAATCATTCATTGTTATGATAAATTTGATAAATGTTCCTGTCTTGAAGTTCATTGTCCATCCAGAGCTCCTGGTAAAGTGTCTGCTCACAAATGCTTAACATTTTCCAAAATGTGTCCTGTATGTAGTTCTAGGAGATGATGTTCTAAAGATTTCTTTAGTCAATAAATTTTAAAGTACTACATGTCACACTGCTACTCAGAGAGATGTAGAGTATATATGAGAATATTAACACTGAGAAATCTTAGTATATGCAAACCTACTTATTTTTGTCTAATCCAGTGGTTTCTCAAACATTTCACAACAGAAAGCTTTTCGAGGTAGTTTCATCCCAAGAAGCAGTATTTTACAGAATGTATTTTAGAAATTAATGTTCTAAACTATATATCACACTTTTTATTTTTGCTTATATTTCCATAAAACCAAATGAATTCATTTCTTTAAAATGTTTCCTGCTGATTCATTACAATACCAAAGAAAACAAATCTCTTTAAAAAATATACCACCTTAGTAAATTATTTTATTCCTATTACTTTCATTGCGTTTTCAACAGTAATATAATAAATCACTTGCTAAATCTATATCGACTTTAGGATTACTAGCTTCTTACTATAACATGGCAAGTTTTTTTGTTGAAACCATATTTTTAACATTATAATATTTATTATGTAGCAGGTGCTCTATACCTATCTGGTGAATGAATAAATAAAAGATAATTGATTTCTTTTTTAGAGTTCCTTTCTGCAGAAGACTAGTCATTTAACTATTTGGTGAATGAATAAATAAAAATAGTTGATTTATCTTTTAGGATGCCTTTCTGCAGAAGGCCAGTTAAATGATCTTAACAGTAGTCCACCAGAAAAATGATGAGAACCTAATCTCATGGCAGTGGCCGTGATCTAGGATTTGATTCCTGATTGTTTTGGGAAGTTATAGAGAGCATGGAATTGAGGATAACTCTGAAATTTCTAGCTTGTCAGTTTGAGTGATTATATTAACTGAGATTTATTAAAATAATACTGGATTAAGAGCAGTGTTTAGGGACCTGAAATGAGAAAATAACAGGTTAAGTTATACACAGTTTAGATGTTTCAAGTACTCGTCTTTGAGCTGGGTGCCCAGAATTCAGTTGGAAAACAAATCTAGAGCTCAAGAGAGGTCAAGATTGGAGGCAGCTGCTTGGGAGTCATTGTTCTACAGTGTGGTTTACAGTATAGGGATGGATGGCATCAACTCCAGAGAGGTGAGAATATGAAGAGAAGGGTATTCTGGCCACAGGACTGATGTGAATATCGAAAGATATAAAGTATGTGAAAGTACTTTGCAAACAATAAAGTCCCATGCAAGAGTTATTATTATTACATCCCAGAAGGCTTACTGAAGAAATAGGTTTGAACTAGGGTTTTCAGGAAGGTGTGAGATATCCTAGGATTGTATTTGATGGAATATAACAGAAACTCGTCTCCAACAACTTGACTGTGGTTCATCTCTAATGCCATAAATGTTCCAGGCTTCTGTCTTTGTGTCCCATCATCTTTGTATGTGGTTTTCATCTTCCTGGTCATCTCTTGATAGCAAGGTGACTGCTCTATCACCATTCTTATGTCTATCATCCAGGGAGGTAAAAGAAATTGGGAAGGGACAAGGAAGAAGGTACTGTGCCTCTATCATGAAAGTAAACTTTACCAACATCCCCTACTAAGCTTTAGCTAGAACTCATAGTTGCAAAGAAAGCTTCAGGAGAAATGTTTTTTAGCCAGAGACTTTGCTGCTCCAAACAAAATTAGGGTTGCTTTAATAAAACAATGGAAGAGTGAATATTGGATAGGAAGCTAGTGGTACCAAGAGATATAGCAGTCCCTAGGAGTATAGATGATAATGTATATAGGGAGAGTTGTGTAAACAGAAGTAATGCTTTGCTAATAGCTAACAGTCTATACAGATTTTGAGATTTTCAGGATACTCATTTAGAGTCTAATTTAAACATAATGGTACCCATGGATAATAATCTCAGTAGGCCCCCAAATATAAACAACTTGTGATCAATGTACTAGCCAAGAAGTAGCCATGATTTATTATATTTGAACTCTATTACATTGATACAAAAATATAATAGATATTTTGCCAAACAGGAAAGCACACAGCCCCACCTGTCTCTTACATTTGAGGTATGTTTCTGATTGAACACATAGACTTCAGGTTATGTGTCAACTGGTCTAATGCCTTAAAGGAATTTCAATTAAAAACAATAACCACTGCCAAAACTCACAAAGGAGAAAATAGATAATCTGAATAGACCTATAACTATTAAAGAAATGGAATCAATAATTAATAGCCTTCCAAAACAGAAAGTACCAGGCCCAGATAGGTTCACTGGTGAATTTTACCAAACATTTAAGGAAGAAATTATATCAATTATCTGCAAGTTTCTTTCAGAAGATAGAAGCAGAGGAAATACTTCCTAACTCATTCTTTCAGGCCAGCATTACCCTAATGCCAAAATAAGACAAGGACATTATAAGAAAAGAAAACTACAGACCAGTCTCTCTCATGAAAATATATCCAAATAGCCTCAACAAAATATTAGAAAATTGAATTCAACAGTAAATACAAAGAATTAACTCTGTGTCTACTTCTGCTCCTGGATTTGTTCACTTCCACTAACATACAGACAGATACACAAACAAGCATATAAAAAGTACTATGGCTGTGGTAGCCAGCCTCTAAGATGCTCCCAATAATCTTTGCCTCTTGACATTCACACCCTTTTGTAGCTCCTACTCACATTGAATCATGGCCCTTCTGTATGACCAATAAAATGTGGTGGCAGTAAAGTAATGATACAGGCTTTGCAAGGCTAGGTATAAAGGCATTTAAGCTTTCATCTTGGTTTCTTGGATTGTTCTCTCTGGGGGAAGCCAGCCTCCATGAGAGCACACAGGAAGCTCTGAGGAGACGTCCACATGAAGAGGAACTGAGGCCTGCTACAACAGCCAGTGTTTACTTGACAGCCGTGTAGTGAACAAACCACCCTGGAAGTGGATCCTACAATCCTAGTCAACTCTTTAGAGGACAGGACTGACTGAACTTAGATGACTAGCTGACTGACTGACTGAACCTGCAGCTGCCATTTGACTGCAACTTCATGAGAAACCATGAGCCAGTTATACCCAGCCATGCCACTAACAAATTCCTAACCCAGAGGAACTGTGAGAGATAATAAATGGCAGTGAGTTTTGGAGTGATTTGTTATACAAATTAGATAATTAATACAACAGCCAAGCCTTTTGTGAGTTTATTTTTCTAAAGATATAGGGGAA
This sequence comes from Homo sapiens, assembly GCF_000001405.40. Lineage (NCBI taxonomy): Eukaryota > Metazoa > Chordata > Mammalia > Primates > Hominidae > Homo > Homo sapiens. Next base: position 110,722,175 of record NC_000005.10, on the reverse strand, counting down.
AAGGTGATTTCATTGTAAGAACTTTATTTCTGCCATGTCCTTTCTTCTCTCATTCTGTCTTCCATTTCCACCCTACCACATCTCTATCTTCTGCAGCCTCCCACTTAACCTCCAACCCCTGACAATGTTTTATGTGATATCAATAAAATACTGCCCTGGAATTCAGCACTCTAATGGTTTGGCTGCTGCAGAAATAATATTTTTATGTGTTTTAAGAAGTGATTCTAACTATCAGGGGCAGTGCCACCTGCTAGGCAACATAAATGCATGGATGTGCTTCTGCTTCTCTCCCATAGCTGCTTCTTCTAAGATTCCTTTTTCTAAGCCACCCTGGGATTCTGATGAATAAATTTATATTTTTCCTTCTTGTTTAAACTATGTCTTTCTTATTCGGATGTCTAATATACAAAACAGGTAAAAATGGAGCTGCTCTGGTCAGTCTAGGGAGGCAGACGCACCCCCTCTTACTTCCCAAACACTAACACACACAGATATATATATACACACACACACACACACATGATATGCAGACTCACACATCTCACACATATGATAGCTTATGAGTCATTTCTGTGGAGCATAGCTTGAAATTCAAAATTCTAGATCAGTATTTCTCAAGGCAGGAGAGGTTGTGATACTGTTATCTTGAGAACAACAGTTCTTACTTATGAGGTACTCTCTCGGAATTGAGGAATATATTTAGCAACCCTGGACCCTGGGCACTGAATGTCCGTTATCAGAACCCTAGACATTATGACAAACAGAAGCACATCCATGCATTTCTAGATGTTACCTAGAAGGTAGTATTGCCCATGATAGAACCACTTCTTAAAAGACGCACAAAAAGCTTGTTTCTGTAGCAGCCAGACTATTAGAAAGCTGAATGCCAGGGCTACATTTTATTGGTGTCACACAAAATCTATCAATGTTTGTTGTAATGTCATATATTTATATTGAGTGTAAAAGACTGCCCCATGAAACTGTTTATTATTTTTACATTCAGGAGGTTATTCATTACATTATATCCTATCTTCTTTATGATGGCTTTAGAAAAATTGTCTTATAACTTTACCGGGAATAACTTTTTCCCCTGCAACTAGTTTGTTTTTAAGCAGTAAATTGTGGCTTTCAGCATTATTTTAAGATGAATGTATACTATACCTTTAGCAAGTGAGTATATATGAATTTGTGGCATAGATTTTGTATGTTCATCTCACTATATCTCACTTTCTTACCCTATTTTGTTCTTACCTATTTTTTCCAGTTTAAAATTTAATTTTCTCTTATATTTATTTTTAGAACTCATCTGAAAGACTTTTATAAATGACAGTGCATCAACAGTTGAGCATGTGTTAACGTGGAGTGGTATATTAATAGAAAGAAGCATAATATAGCACAAAGCACTCAGTCAAGCTTCTAGTCCAGAAAGCGTATGATTTTATCTGAAGTAATTTGGAATAAATTTACTTGAAGGCAAGGTATTCTATATGAGAAGTTAGGCCAAATGTTGATTTGGACAAAAGTGAATGTAGTAAAATGGGAAAAAAATCCTGAAGGCTGGCATCAAAATAACTCTTAAACAATGAACTATTACAGAGATTTCCACTTGAGTCATGACTCATGCCATCTTCCCCTCAAGTGCAACATAAGGTAAGCTGAACTTTGTGCAGATGTGGCCAAGATGATGGGACTCCCTCTCCCCTAAGCTTCCAATCAAGGGTTACTGTATCTTATTAGTAGGGGCAGTCTGCCAGCATTTCTAATCCCCTTCAACTCAAATTTAAAAGACTAATTTCCTGGTGATTGTGGCTGAGAGGCTGGGGGCTCCCTTACTTCACCCAGTCTTCTTCATGCATAAGAAAGAGGCTTTATATTAGGTTCAGCAAGACAAGAATATTGATACCCTAATTTCCCTCGTTGCAACTTATTATAGGGGAGAGGTTTCACAAGAGAAGAGGCAAGCCAAGAAGACTGGAAGCTACTGCTCTGCTCAGCTCCTAGAATAGTGGCTTGGAGACTGCCCAGGGGAAAAGGCAGTCTGTAAGAAAAAACTCTGAAATCCTCCCCAAAGAAACTAACTTTATTTGAAACATAAGGTTCAAGCCTAATGCTGCTCTTGAAAATAATTTCTTCTCTAAATTAAGAGCAACAAGCTGAACTTCAGGACATCTAGTTCACCAGCGAGAACCAGAACAAGGGACAAGTAAGAAGAGCCCTTAAAACTGTCTCTGCCTGAATTTAATTGGATCAGACTGCTGAGCAATTTATACTCTAGAGCATTTTTTAAAACAATAGAGTAATTAGTTGATAATTACTGGAGGCTAATGGGCTGGCATGTAACACAGAATGAGGCACACAGTTTAACAGAGAGAGTAGAGAAAAAGACAAAGAGAGCCTTGCCAAATTCACTGTCATCCCAGGGTGACGGTGTGAATGCCCAAGGCTGTACCCTCTGAAGAGTGGCATCAAAAGCTTCACAGAGTGGAACAAATATAATTTACTAAAATATCCTAGCCAAGTCACAAAATAAGCAAACAATATCAAAAACAAGCTCAGAAGAGGGAGGAAGCAAATCTGTACCCAGAATTGCTACAATATATTCCCTAAAATAACCAATTTCCAACAAAAAATTTTAAGACATCTAAAGAAGCGAGAAAGTGTGACTCATATACAGGAGGGGGAAAAAAGCTGCAAAAACTGCCTGGAAAGAGGAGCAGATGTCAGATTTATTAAAGACTTTGAAATAGCCATTACAAATACGTCCAGAGAACTAAATGAAACCATGTTTAAAGAGGTAAAGGAAGATATGAACAGAATGTCTCAAATGGAGAATGTCAGTAAAGAGAAAAGATTGAAATTTTACACACATGCATAATTATATATGTGTGTGTGTGTATATATATATACAGCACATATATATGCAGCACATGACTGTGTGTGTATATATACACATATATACATATATACACATATATATACATATATACATGTATATACATATGTATATACACACACGCAGTCATGTACTTCATAGTATTTCAGTCAAAGATGATTGCATATATGACAGTGGTCCCATAAGACTATCATGGCAAACCATAAAGCCTAGGTGTGTAGTAGGTGCTACTATCCAGGTTTGTGTAAGTAGACTCTTTGATGTTTGCACAATGGCAAAATCGCCTTACAACTCATTTCTCAGAACATATCTCCATCATTAAGTGACATATAACTATATAAATGAACTATATTCCATGAAATAAATGGAAATTCTGGAGTTGAAATTTATTAGAGGGTCTCAATCATAGATTTGAGCTGGCAGGCTAAATAATCAGTGTACTTGAAGATACAATAATAGAGTTGAGTGCATCCAAAGAAAAGAGAAGAAACAAAATGAAAAAAATGAATAGAACCCTTAGAGAAATATGGTAACCCTTAAGCACACCAACTTTCATGTAATGGGAGTGTTAGAAGAGAAGAGAAAGAGAAAGGAGTATAAAAAATATTCAAGGAGATAATGGCAAAAAACTTCACAAACACTAAAAAAAAATTAATCTTCACACCTAAGAAGCTCAGTGAACTCCAATTAGGATAAATACAGAAGAAATCCACTCTCAGACGTTTCATAGGAAAAATGCTGGAAGCTAACTGCAAAGAGAAAATCTGGAAAGCAGCAAGAGATAATGACTCATCACATACAAAGAACATAAATAAGATTAACAGCTATCCAGAAATGCTTCTCACTCATCACATACAAAGAACATAAATAAGATTAACAGCTATCCAGAAATGCTTCTCATCAATATAATTTTGCAATTTAATATTTTCGCCTTAAGATGTATTCTGTTTTGAAAACTTCATAATAATCCTGGTATGGATACAGTTCTTAATCACCTATCTGAAAGCCTTGGAGGTAGACTTTTGGAATTCAGATTTTTTCTGATTTTTAAAATGATAACACAGAATATCCCCAATGAAGTCTATCTAGCACGGCATTCTATAATCAAATACATAAACATATTTGCAAACAAATATATGTAGATTTATACTAAATTTGACAAATATGTATAATTTTAATATTACAGTTTATATAGAAATAAACTGACAAGTGAAATAATTGGATAATTAAAGACCAAAAATATTCAGATCCTTCTTAGTTCTAAGAAAAATATTCAATATACTTTTAAACACATACAGATTTGAACTAAGTTAAAGACCTTGTATTAGTCCATTCTCACTGCTATACACATACTACCTGAGACTGGGTAATTTATAAAGGAAAGAGGTTTAATTGACTCACAGTTCCACATAGCTGGGGAGGCCTCAGGAAACATGCAGTTGTGGCAGAAAGCAAAGGGGAAGCAAGGACCTTCACATGGTGTCAGGAGAGAGAAGAGTGAGGAGTGAAAGGGGGAGAGCCCCTTATAAAACCATCACATCTCCTGATAACTCCCTCATTATCATGAGAACAGCATGGAAGAAACCACCCCATGATCCAGTCACCTCCCACCAAGTTCCTCTCTCAACATGTGAGGATTATGGAGGTTACAATTCGAGATGAGATTTGGGTGGGGACAGAGCCAAATCATATCAGACCTGTATATAAACACAATGACTTAAATCGTACCTTAGGTTGCTTAAGGACATTGGGCAAGAGGACACATCAGTTTTGCTATCTTTGTTGTCAGATGGGATTTGAGCAACTTATGATGGGATGGAAGCAGAATTACTGAGTAATGAGTTAATACTTTGATAGTTGGCCTTTTAAATGACTTTTTCAAGGATCATGTCAAATCAGCATGGGTCCAAGTATTAGCAACAGAGTAAATGGCGTCATTAAAACTGAACTCATTCAGATCTTGGATTCTTGGACCTCTGTTAACTACAGCTAGCCCACAGTTAAAGAAAACTTTATACTTTTATTAATAGAATATAAAATTTCATGGCCATATGTCTTTGTCACGGATGTTACATTGTGTGTGTGTATGTGGCGGGGGGTGGGGTAACAAATACTGAAAATGTTACTTTTTACAAGAGGACCAGGAGAGGATATAAAGGGCAGTTGTCTGAGAAGAATAAATTTTACAGTTTTTGTTCTAGTCCAGATTGCCTATAATGACCTCATGTCCCTGGTACAAAGTGGTCTTTCAACTAGTCTAGAAATACTCTGATTATCCCTACTTTATTGTCTGCTTAGTGATGGATAGACAAATTGCTGTATACTTCATACACTGTGTGCATTGGCTTTTTGTAATTACTGTCCAGTTTATCCTGTACCATTGCTACACACACAAAAAAGCCAACCAGTGCTTAGTGTCCTTAAAACCTGTAGCTTTTCTTCCTCAGTCATGGTTAATGTTCTTCTAAAACACAGCACCAGTACAGAACTGTTTCTTCAAGTTTAGGACTAAGGTTTAGTTGGCAAAAAGAGTGACAATCTGTAAAACAGGGATCCCCATAACCCTGGCCACAGACTAATGCCGTGGCCTGTTAGTAACCACAGCAAGAGGTGAGTGGTGAGTGAGCAAATGAAGTTTCATTTGTATTTATAGCCACTCCCCTTTGCTTACATTACCACTTGAGCTCTACCTCCTGTCAGATCAGCAGCAGCATTAGATTCTCATAGGAGTGCAAACTCTATTGTGAACTGTGCATGCAAGAGATCTTGGTTGTGAGCTCCTTATGAGAATCTAATGACTGATGATCTGTCACTGTCTCCCATCGCCACCAGATGGAACTGTCTGGTTGCAGGAAAACAAGCTTAGGTCTCCCACTGATTCTACATTATGGGGAGTTGTATAATTATTTCATTATTACTTACAATGTAACAATAATAGAAATAAAGTGCATCGTAAATGGAATGCACTTGAATCATCTGAAAATAATTCTCCCACCCCATCTGTGGAAAAATTTTCTTCCACCAAACTGGTCTCTGGTGCCAAAAAGATCGGGGCCCCCTGCTGTAAAATATTTGAAGAAATGTATTCTGAGCCAAATACGAGTACCCATGGCCCATGACACAGTCCTCAGGAGACCCTAAGAATATGTGCCCAAGGTGGTCAGGGTACAGCTTGGTTTTATACATTTTAGGGAGACATGAGGCACCAATCAAATACAATTAAGATATACATTGGCTTGGTCTAGAAAGGTGGGACAACTCAAAGCTGGGAGTGGTGGGTTCCAGGACATAGGTAGATTTAAAAATTTTCTGATTGGCAATTGGTTGAAAGAGTTATTATCAGTAGAAAGGAATGTCTGGTTTATAATAAGAGGTTATAGCGACCAAAGTTTTATCATGTAGATGAATTCTCCAG